>NW_013171801.1:0-236512 GCF_000001405.40 Homo sapiens
CAATTTACAAAGTTCTAGAATGTTGTATTATCCAGATACTTATTGTCCTTAAACACACATAAAAGAAATATGTACTAGAACTTATATGTCATTAACATAGCTGCATTAGCTTAACTGCCATGATGTAACACCATAGAAAAATAGCACAGGATTTTACTGTTCTAAAATTGGGTAGAATGTTAACTTACCTCACTGCTTGAAAGGCTTTCTATGGTCTGTGGGAAAAAAAAATTGACAACCAGCTAAATCTTCTAGATCATTAGAGAATTTTACTATTTTATGGTTCATAAATTTTCTCTAAAAAAATAATCTCACCTCAGAGGATGCATTGGATTGTTCCTTCTGAAAAGATGTTTAAAAATTCAACTTCTATAGCTAACTCATTGTTAAACATGCATCCTACTTAATTTTTACATCACTTATGCAGAGCTATCTCTTTCACAAATTTGAGAAATAAAAAATGTTATATGACTTTTGAGGTTTAAAAGGTAATTACTTTAATGTCTTTTATATTTAGTAATCTATTAATATATTTTTATCTTACATTTATTAAAGACAGAGTTTTTTATGGGTAAAAGAAGAGTCACTTTAATTTGTATTAAATATTTTTATTATATTATTATTAATATATTTATGATCATGATTATGATTGTCTCTGTACTTCATCCCATGGATGTCTTTGTACAGACAGACACAGGATTTGACCCAGTGCCCTAGGCTGTAAGGTATATATACATTTTATCACTGGAATAAGATATATTTATCTAGCTTGAGAATCTTTGGAGTTGTATTTATGCAATATTATATTTCGTTGCCATTTTTATGATTTTTTATTACTTATTGATTTGTTTGCTTTTTCTTTAGTGACTAGCAGCACATTGGTGCAGGAAGCATTTGGGGCACTATAGGAAACTGTTGAGACAGTGGGTAAATATAAATGATTTTGATAGAAGCCAAGAGAATTCTCATGAAATTCTTCATTATTTATACAGTAAAAAATGTTGGTGATGTTATTCTCTACAAATAAGCATATAGTCCACTATTTATTGATTGTTTAGGAATTTTTTCTTGTGCACATACCTCCCTTGCAAGAGCAAGAGCCACCAGGCAGGCGAGGATGAGGACCTTCATGGCTACTAAGTCCTGTGAATGTAGAAAAAATGGAATGGTGGAAGATTGGTCAATTGGATATACTTTCTTATGTAGGTAAGGTTACTTTTTATAAAACAAAAAAAAAAGAGAGATAATATATAACAAAAATATCTGCATTTAGAAAATAAATAGAATAAATACTAAATAGAAGTTATATCACATGAAGGAGGTCAAAATCCATTCTGGCTTGCGATTCTCATTTTTCAAATTCCAAACTTCATTGCCAGCTATTCAGATTTTTCAGCTAACAACTCTATCCCCACTTTTAAAAAAGTCCCATTTACAGTATTGAATTTTTCAAAAGGCATAAAGAAGTTATAAATATGTATGGAAAGATTTATGCAACACATCAAAAAGCTTATCCACCATGATCAAGTGGGCTTCATCCCTGGGATGCAAGGCTGGTTCAACATACGAAAATCAATAAATGTAATCCAGCATATAAACAAAACCAAAGACAAAAACCACATGATTATCTCAATAGATGCAGAAAAGGCCTTTGACAAAATTCAACAACACTTCATGCTAAAAACTCTCAATAATTTAGGTATTGATGGGACATATCTCAAAATAATAAGAGCTATCTATGACAAACCCACTGCCAATATCATACTGAATGGACAAAAACTGGAAGCATTCCCGTTAAAAATTGGCACAAGACAGGGATGCCCTCTCTCACCACTCCTATTCAACATAGTGTTGGAAGTTCTGGCCAGGGCAATTAGGCAGGAGAAGGAAATAAAGGTCATTCAATTAGGAAAAGAGGAAGTCAAATTGTCCCTGTTTGCAGATGACATGACTGTGTATCTAGAAAACCCCATCGTCTCAGCCCAAAGTCTCCTTAAGCTGATAAGCAACTTCAGCAAAGTCTCAGGATACAAAATCAATGTGCAAAAATCACAAGCATTCATATACACCAATAACAGACAAACAGAGAGCCAAATCATGAGTGAACTCCCATTCAAAATTGCTTCAAAGAGAATAAAATCCCTAGGAATCCAACTTACAAGGGATGAGAAGGACCTCTCCAAGGAGAACTACAAACCACTGCTCAAGGAAATAAAAGAGGATACAAACAAATGGAAGAACATTCCATGCTCATGGGTAGGAAGAATCAATATCATGAAAATGGCCATACTGCCCAAGGTAATTTATAGATTCAATGCCATCCCCATTAAGCTACCAATGACTTTCTTCACAGAATTGAAAAAAACTACTTTAAAGTTCATATGGAACCAAAAAAGAGGCCACATTGCCAAGTAAATCCTAAGCCAAAAGAACAAAGCTGGAGGCATCATGCTACCTGACTTCAAACTATACTACAAGGCTACAGTAACCAAAACAGCATGGTACTTGGTACCAAAACTGATACCAAGACCAATGGAACAGGAAAGAGCCCTCAGAAATAATGCCGCATGTCTACAACTATCTGATCTTTGACAAAGCTGACAAAAACAAGCAATGGGGAAAGGATTCCCTATTTAATAAATGGTGCTGGGAAAACTGGCTAGCCATATGTAGAAAGCTGAAACCGGGTCCCTTCCTTACACCTTATACAAAAATTAATTCAAGGTGGATTAAAGACTTACATGTCAGACCTAAAACCATAAAAACCCTAGAAGAAAACCTAGGCAATACCATTCAGGACATAGGCATGGGCAAGGACTTCATGTGTAAAAGACCAAAAGCAATGGCAACAAAAGCCAAAATTGACAAATGGGATCTAATTAAACTAAAGAACTTCTGCACAGCAAAAGAAACTACCATCAGAGTGAACAGGCAACCTGCAGAATGAGAGAAAATTTTTGCAATCTACTCATCTGACAAAGGGCTAATATCCAGAATCTACAATGAACTCCAACAAATTTACAAGAAAAAAACAAACAACCCCATCAAAAAGTGGGCAAAGGATATGAACAAACACTTCTCAAAAGAAGACATTTATACAGCCAAAAATCACATGAAAAAATGCTCATCATCACTGGCCATCAGAGAAATGCAAATCAAAACCACAATGAGATACCATCTCACACCAGTTAGAATGGCGATCATTAAAAAGTCAGGAAACAACAGGTGCTGGAGAGGATGTGGAGAAATAGGAACACTTTTACACTGTTGGTGGGACTGTAAACTAGTTCAACCATTGTGGAAGTCAGTGTGGCGATTCCTCAGGGATCTAGAGCTAGGAATACCATTTGACCTAGCCATCCCATTACTGGGTATATACCCAAAGGATTATAAATCATGCTGCTATAAAGACACATACACATGTATGTTTATTGCGGCACTATTCACAATAGCAAAGACTTGGAACCAACCCAAATGTCCAACAATGATAGACTGGATTAAGAAAATGTGGCACATATACACCATGGAATACTATGCAGCCATAAAAAATGATGAGTTCATGTCCTTTGTAGGGACATGGATGAAGCTGGAAACCATCATTCTCAGCAAACTATCGCAAGGACAAAAAAACCAAACACCACATGTTCTCACTCATAGGTGGGAATTGAACAATGGGAACACACGGACACAGGAAGGGGAACATCACACACCGGGGCTGTTGTGGGGTGGGGGGAGTGGGGAGGGATAGCATTAGGAGATATACCTAATGTTAAATGACGTGTTAATGGGTGCAGCACACCAACATGGCACATGTATACATATGTAACAAACCTGCACTTTGTGCACATGTACCCTAAAACTTAAAGTATAATAATAATAATTTCAAAAGACAAATAAAATTTAAAAAAAGATTTATTCATTAACTTAAAAATATTTCTTTAGAATCTGTTCTTGCCAGACACTGTCTAGGGACCAGGACCGCAGCAATGAACAAAATATTACAGTCCTGATATTACTCCCTCATGGAGCCTCAGTTCTACTGGAAGAGACTGATCAAGAAAATGTGTACAAAAAAGTCACATTTTATTTTTACCTTTTTTCTTTTCACTAAACGGTTACCATGACTATTTTAGTTTATTTCTCCTCATTTCCAATAAGACTGAGGTTTTCATTTTAACACTTTCCTTATTTGTGTCACTATCCAGAGACTTTATTGGACTATTGAGTTTGTTTCTTCTCCGTTTATATTCATCTTCCCCACATAGCTAATAATGTCTGTTCTCCTTTATGCCACATGACTTTAGATATTGTACACTAGGCTTCTTCTCTTCTCTTTATTGAAATGTACACACGATTCTCTTGATGATCCGCCAAGGGGTCAGAGCCTCTTGCCCACTGCTAAGCTTGGGACTACCTCTTCTTGTGAAATATATGTTAATATTTTTGACCAAAATATACTAAATCATCTCCTTGTTATGTGTTCTTACATTTTTTTGTAATTTATTTCAAAATAATGTTTGTGCCACAATATTACTCACCACTCAAATCTTCATTCTCAGATATTGAAACTCAATTTTTGAACTAAATTTTTGAACTAAAATACTTCATCAAAAAAGTCTTTAATTTATTTGAGAGATGTTCTTTTCAATATTTGAAGGTTGAACATAATTCTATTACAGAAAACAAATATTTTTTCTAGATTTTTTATGAATGTTAATTAAGTTTTTATTAATTTTACTTTGCCTAAGACCACTATAAGTTCCCAAATTTTTATGTCAGGGTTCAGAAACAGAATATAACACTCTATTATATATAATTACACATAGGGAAGATCCCACAGCATTTTCTATATTTTATAAGTAATATAAACTTTACTAGTTTTATTACTAATCTACTAATATATATAATAATTTTATATACGAATGTATAATTACAATGCTAATTTATATACTAATATACTAATATATACTAATACTAATTATACTAGTTTTTATACTCATTTCTATACTATAAATATACTACATACTGGTATACTTTTATATACTAATTTTTAAGCCAGAGCTTCATTATCAACTGGTACACTCTAAGCTACTTTTTCTTTTATATCATCTATTATCTTTGTTTATGGTTTCCAAGTCTTTTCTACCCCATTAAGAATTTTCTTACAAAGTAAACCACATTGTTTCTTTTTTACTTAATTCTGTATTTCTGTCTCATTTTAATATTGTTTTGAAATATTACAAACTAGATAATAAACTGGGAAGTTTGAGGCTCTAGACAAGTTTGATGAGTAAACTCTTCTAAAAACATTGTTTATAAACATTTAAAGTAGTAAATGCCCCCATACCATTCCCTCCATTTCTCAACTCAGTATGCTACTGCTGTAAACTACCTGCTGGACAAAGCTTTTCCAGTAATTATTTATCTACCCATACTATAATTGAAGTATAATTCTTTTTATAACTGTGATATGCTAAATCAAATTGGAAGATTAATTAAAAAAATGAATCTCCTTTTAATATTAACTATGAACTAGCCTCATACTATATATATATATATATATATATATATATATATATATGCATAAAATTAGCTATTATATTTTCTTAAACTCATGAAGGCTATATGTCATTACCAAATTCTTCTGGGCACTTCTATCTTTTTTAGCCTAAGTGTTAAAAATAATCTCAGTACTACCTTAAATACTTTTATTTCAAACACTATATTTTAAGTAACTACGTTCCTTCTATAGCTCAAGCTACTTTGAAATACATGGTTAGGAGAAGATACAACAAATTTGTATCTAAAATTCTTACCGTTTTTCCAAGATTGAAGAGAAGTGAAGGTAGTGCTGGATGGATGATGGTCCATCAGCTTCTGTGACTGTTTATATACTATATTTAATGACACACTAATTTTGTGATTTGAAATAAGATCAATAGCGAGCTTTAATTCCAAGAAGTCCACATGATTAGAAAATGATTTCTGCCTATTACATATCCCCAGAAATTCTGGGCATCATTATAACAAGGGAACAATTCACAAGTTGATAAAAGAAACCTGTCCAGGAAATGCAATTATTCAATAACAAAAGACAATGACTGGAGGACAGTGATACTCTGGCCCTGTCCCCAAGTTATTATGGACATAATTAGGTCTCTTTAGGGCCTAGTGGGGCCTTGAGATTTCAGTTGTGGGAAAATTGTATGTGAACGCTAGATATACACAGGGCTTCACAAAGGCCACAGTTTCATGTGAACCTAAGCAGTTGTTAGTGCTTTATGCTGAAATGAAGAAACTGACAAGATAACAAGTCCATGATGGTAGCTTAGTTATGTGAGGCAAACTGTTTCTCCCAGGGCCACTTGATTTGGAAAAAAAAATAATTTAGTTAAAACAAATATTTTGTACACAAGATAAATAAACTTTCCTCTGTAATGGAATAACTTGAAGAGGGAATCTGGGTGGCTGGTATAGGCAAAATCTTCAGTAAATCTGTAATAAAAATTTTGCAAAGTATCACGGAGTTTTATTTACCTTTTAATATTGATTATCTCTTTTCAGGTCAAGCATAATTATGATAATATTAATGATGGGTTTTTTTGCTTAGTTCTAACCCTTTGCCAAGCACTAAGCAAAGATATTATCTTGTATAATCTGCACAAGAACATCATGAGGTAGCTCTCCTCTTCATATTTAGGTTGAGAAAACAGAGATGCCAAAAGGTTAAGTAACTTGCTCAAAACCATATTGTTAATGGCAAAGATACCAGTTGGACTCAGATCTGTCTGACTACATGTGATTCTGTTTGATCACATGTGAGTCTCAGAGCCCATGTTTTAACCTTCTGATAATTTTTTATAAAATTTATCTATCAATGTAGCATTTGGTTGAAATATGTACAATTTAATTATGCCTGAATTGGAAAAGTAGGGCCTCTGTGCTGTGTGTGGCAGGGGAGCTTGCCATTAAGGAACTGCTCTTTTAGTTGAGCCTTAGAGAATGAGTAGAATTTTGCGAGATGATTAAATGGGGATAGATATTTTGGCTGAAGAAAACACAGGAACTGAAAGAGCAACATACCAGTTTGAGGATATTCAGAGGGCATACATTGCAAGTTACAATTGCAGAGGTTTGATAGAATCAGATCATGGATGACTGTGAATGTCAGGCATGCACTGTGACATAATTCAGTGGAAGCAAATATATTAGAGATTTGAAAGAAAAATGGATTGTAAAATTTCTTGGATTTCATGACTTTATGACAACAAATCAGGTAACCTAGTAAAGGAAGTTGTTATGTTATGTTATTGCAGTAGCCTAAGACAGACATTATGATGATCTCAAGTAGGGAAATGGTCCTGGGCATCTTAGGCAATAAAAAGACAAACTTCTCATTAAAATACGAGAAATGTGAAAAATTGGGGAAATGAATTAATATATTATGCCTGAGTGACTGAAAAGTTAGCCATGTTATAAATCAAAATATGAAACCAGGCTGAAATTAGAAATGAAACACTGAGTAAAACCTTGTACGTGGTAAATTTGAAGGTGTCCAGAAGATGTTTTAAATTAAATGTGATACTCAAGAAATAATCATGAGTATAATTTTTAAAGGTAATTTCTCCCTTCAAAGGAGTAAGTGAAGGTCTCTAGGGAAAGAGTATCAAGTGAGAAAAGAAATTGTACAAAACAAAATTCAAGTATCCTTTCTTTTACAGGGGCTGGTATAGCAAAAGGAAATAGGAAAAAAAAAAACCTGCGATATCAAGAATAAGAGAGTACAGAATCCACTTCCTCTCCTTGATATCCTGCATTGCTAGAGGAAGCAAGTGAGGTCAACAGTGAAATGCTACACAGCTGATTGAGATACACTCCAAATGGTTAAGAAGTAAGTAATTTGTGAGGAATTAAAAGTAACATATGTGTACTGCCCTTCTGAGAAACTTAGAAGAGGAGATAAGGAGAACTGTAAGATTGTGACTAGGTGTACAGGGATAATCAGAACCACGGGAAGGTATTTTTAGGGTAAGGAAGACTTGTAGCTTACAAGAAAGAGGCCAATAAGGAAAGAGTTGAAACATACCAAAGAAGTGGGAGTAAATTAATGGAACAAGTTCCTGTACAGTCATGGAGAAAAGAATAAGACCTATAAAAAATGTACCAGTTTTCCTAAGAAAACAAAAAGGAATAAGAAGATAAGTAGATACAATACATGTTTGAGATAAAAGGTAGAGAAGTTGAAGTTAAATGGTCTTAATGTTCTAGTGAGGTGAAAGGGGGAGTTCTCAACTGAAATTGAAGGACATGGTTATACATAGTTGAATCTTTAAGTCAACTAAGCCAGATACAGAAGGACGAATATTACACAATGTTATTTATATGTGGAATCTTGTTTTAAAAATTGAATATATAGAAACAAAGAGTAGAAGGATGGGTATCAGGGGTTCAGGGTGGAAGATAGATAAGGAGATGTAGGTCAAAGGAAACAAAGCTGCAGTTATGTAGGATGAATAAGTTTAGACATGTAATGTACAGTGTGAGGATGATAATCATTAATATTTTATTGTATAATAAAAATTTGCTGAAAGTAGATTTTAGATGTTCTTACCACAAGATAAAAAGAGTAACCTATGTGAGGTGATGGACATATTAATTTGCTTGACTACAGTAATCATTTCACTATATAAGTATCAAAACATCATGTTGTACATCTTAAATATATGTAATTTTGAAAGAGCAGAAATTTTTGGTTAATGTGAAAATGAAAATGAATAACAAATCCACGAGCAATAATTATGACTTATATGAGATTATATATCAGATTTTTTTATCTAAGTAGTTGTATGGCAAGATGGCGGAGATTTAGTATCAATAGGTTAAGAGAATTGTTAGGATAGGGTTGGGATTATTAGTGTTTGTGTTAAAAATGGCAAACCATCAGGTATTGTTTAAGCTAACATACTAAAAAGAGGGCTTGAATGACTAGAGATGGCAAGAAAGGCAAAGACCTGGCCTAAGAAGATACCAATTTTGAGAAGTACAAAAACAGAGATTTTTTCATTTGGGAATTTCAGCATTAGAAAGAAGAGAATTTCTGTATGATGACTAGATCCAAGGAATAGCCATACATTCAGAATGCTGAAAATAGGTGAACATAAAGTTTGTTAGAGGAAAATGTATTTCATATTAAATATCTATGTTTGCAGGCATTTCCTAAATTATCCAGAATGAAATGAAAAATAAAAGATACATTTGACCTCAAGGAGGTCAAAACCTTCGTGGGAAAACAGACATAAAAATCTACTTGTTACGACATGTAAGGAATATGCTAATAAAGCAGTAAGAAGGTGCAATTGACAGAAGGAGAATACTTAGTTCATTTTAGTTGATTCATGGGAGAGGAAAATAGAATCTCCATGAGGCCATGAGTCCTGAGCAGAATCTTGAAGCCAGATAAAGCAGTTAATCGAGGAGGATAGAGAATTCTAGCTAAAAATAGTTAAAGACTGTAGTCTTGGATATGAGAAACAAGTAACTAGAACTAAATCAAGTAGTGAACCTGGATAATGAAGTTCAAGGAAGAGAGAGGATGAAAATGTGAACACAAAAAGAGAAAGCAATCAGACGACGATGGACAAAGCATGCTTTGCTCCTTAGGAATGTGAATTTTATTCTGCAGATGGAGGGATCTATTGAAGAATTTAAGATGGACAGTAACATTTAGAGAATGGCTATTTTTAGAGAACAAATGATACAGGTACACATTTATTAAAATGAAACTGACCAAGTTTGAGCTCACGTTCTTTGTTTTTGTTTTGGTTTTCCAGTAGGTAAATATTGATTGCTAATGTTTATGAAAGTACAGAAAATTGAGGCAAAAAAGAATACTGAATCCCAGAAAAGAGCAGGGTCTTGGTCAAAGTACGAAAGTAGAGACTGAGGTAGGCTTCAAAATACTTGAGTTGTGCCCATTTACAAAATAAGTCTACAAATTTCCTTGCCTCTTTAGTGATTGCTATTCATAAGTGTTTGGCTGACTGTGTTGGATGTTACTCATTCTTATAATTTTTATTTTTTCTATTTACTGCCTATGACAGATATATTCAGGACTTAAGCACAAATAGATGCCCTTCTAAATTAAATAAGCTGAGTATAGACCTACATAACTATTTTTCTTTATAATATACCTTGCATTAATATCATCCTAGATCTATGAATGAGGGGGACACTCCTGATTGTCACATATATTTCATATTTCTCAGAAAACCCAGGTCAATGTCTACTATACATTTGAATTGTTCAGCTGATATTCATTTTATGTTCATACTGAGCCAGGAGGAAGCCAGGAAAAGAAATGATGAAATTACTCCAGCGTCCTAAGTCCAAATAGGAAAGGCCCTAGCTACCCAATGTGGCTTTGTGGTTTAGCTCTGAGTTGCCAAGGCCACAGGCAACAAAGTTAAGGTTTCTAAGAAAGTAATACAAAAACAAGCATGCCTTGTCCATTCTATATATCATTTGTTTTTTCTTAGAAAAATGCTTTATGCATTGTGCAATAAATATAACATAGCCTTGTAATGCTCATCAATTTTTAGTCACACTAATCAGTATAATTACAGACTTGATTAGCCCAGAAAAGTGGGCAAAACTATGATTAAGGAAAGCACTAGAATAAGAGGCTTGCCTAAGAAAAAATTGAAAAGCCAGAGGTTTAAGATAAAACCAGGTGCTAAGAGCCCAGTAAGCATCAGAACCCAATGACAAATAAGCAAAATGTCATGTGGGGCAACCCAGGCTTTCACAATGAACAATTTAATAATTGTTATTTTCTGCTGGGCGCTGTGGCTCACGCCTGTAATCCCAGCACTTTGGGAGACCGAGGCGGGCGGATCACAAGGTCAGGAGATCGAGACCATCCTGGCTAACACGGTGAAACCCCGTCTCTACTTAAAATACAAAAAATTAGCCGGGTGTGGTGGTGGGCGCCTGTAGTCCCAGCTGCTTGGGAGGCTGAGGCAGGAGAATGGAGTGAACCCTGGAGGCGGAGCTTGCAGTGAGCAGAGATCGCGCCACCTGAGCGACAGAGCGAGACTCTGTCACAAAAAAAAAAAAAAGAGAATTGTTATTTTCAGAGGTAAAATTAGGAGGGGGGAGGAATAGCATTAGGAGACATACCTAATGTAAATGACGAGTTAATGGGTGCAGCACACCAACAGGGCACATGTATACATATGTAACAAACCTGCACGTTGTGCACATGTACCCTAGAACTTAAAGTATAATAAAAAAAAGAATTGCACCCACTGAAATTTGATAAGACAGCGCTGAACGAGAAGCAGGATATATTCAATGCAAAGAGTTCTAGTACTATTTGTTAGCAACAGAATTTGTTCACCCAATGCTCTTTTCTATATTGGGTGACGAATATGAGATACGCAAGCATGAGATGTGGGTGAAGTGTAAAGATAATAACTGCAGCCATGTAAATAAAGCCTTGAAGAAAGCAAGCAGATATGAAGGCAGGATAAAGGGTAAAATAAAAGGACATCAAATGTTCAAGGAATAATAACTGGAAGAGGATCTACATATTGTCTATGTAACATTCCAAGGTTATTTTAGAGAAGGAAAAACTTTAGACCTGCAAAGTTCCATAACTTGGTCAAGATTTTATCTCTAATTTACAGAGACTTTATACTGGAAACCTCTTTCTTCTAATATTTGGAATACTATTTAAAAACTTCATCAAAATATAGAAGGAAAAAGGAAAATAAAATAAATAAATCATGGGGATTTATATAATGATTCAAATTTATGAAAAATATGACATGTAATTAACAAATCATTATATAAAGAGAAATAGTGTAGCATTTCTTATACAGATACAGTGTTTTAATTCCTTCAATGAGATTATTTGAATATAATCAATGACATCTTCTCTGAAATATGGCTACTAAAATTAATTAATAAAGGTAATCAAGAATCATGGAATAAGAAATATGAGCTTAGAGAATACGTTCATGAAGCAGGTATCATGAAAGCGTAAAGCCCATAACCCTAATTCATAGCACACACTTCTCATTTGATACTAACTGCTTTTATTTTCCATATAATCATAAAATTTCATTCAAGCTCAGGATACATTTATGAAGCACGTACTATACTTTAAACCAGAGTTTCTTAACCTTGGCACTATTGACATTTTAGATAGGTTAATTCTTTATTTATATTTATTGAAATATTTGCTTCATTGTGGTGCTCTGGAAGTGAACCTGCAATGTCTGTGAGGTATGCCTGTAAATTTTTTTCCTTGATTTTTATTTATTTTCTTTTTCTTTTTTTTTCATCTTTTGTGTAAGTTTCAAGGGATACATGCACAAGTTTGTTATGTGGGCAAATTGCATGTTGTGGAGGATTTGTATACAGATAATTTGGTCACCAAGGTAATCAGCATAATACCCATTAGGAAGTTTTTCAATCCTCACTCTCCTCCCAACCTCTAGCCTCAAGTAAACCATAATGTCTATTTTTCCATTCTTTGTGTCCATGTGTTGCTGATGTTTAGCTCCCACTTAAAAAAGTGAGAACAAGTAGTATTTGGTTTTCTGTTACTGCATTAATTTGCTCAGGGTAGCCTCCAGTTCCATCCATGTTGCTGCTAAGGACATGATATCATTCTTCTTTATAGCTGCATAGTATTAATATTATATGGTGTATCTGCACAATATTTTCTTTATCCAGTCCACCACTGATGGGCTTCTAGGTTGATTCCATGTCTTTGCTATTATTAATATTGCTGCAATGAACATACATATGCATATGTCTTTATGGCAGAGTGATTTGTATTGCTTTGGGAATATAGCCAGTAATCAGACTACTGGATTAAATGGAGCTATATTTTAAGTTATTTAAGAACTCTCCAAAATGCTTTCCACAGGGTCTGAACTAATTTACATTCCTACCAGCAGAGTATAAGCATTCCATTTTCTCTACAACCTCACCAGCATCGGTTATTTTTTGGCTTTTTAACAATAGCCATTCTGACTGGTGTGAGATGATAACTTATTGTGGTTTTGATTTGCATTTCCCTAATGATTAGTAATGTTGAGCATTGTTTCATATGATTGCTGGCCACACGTGTGTCTTCTTTTGAGAAGTATCTGTTCATGTCCTTTGCCCATTTTTAATGGGATCGTTCATTTCTTCATGTTGATTGTTTAAGTTTCTTATAGATTCTAGATATTAGACCTTTGTTAAGTACAAAGTTTGTAAATATTTTATCCCATTCTGTAGGTTGTCTGTTTACTCAATAGTTTCTTCTGTGTGCAGAAGCGGTTTAGTTTCATTAAGTCCCACTTATCAATGTTTTTTGTTTGTTTCTTTGTTTTTTGCAATTGTTTTGGGAGATTTTTTGGAGTCTTTGCCAAGCCAATGTCCAGAGTGGTGTTTCCTATGTTTTCTTCTGGGGTTTTTAAAGTTTTAGATTTAGATTTTACATTTAAGTCTTTAATCCAACATGAGTTAATTTCTATACATGGTGAAAAGTAGGGTCCAGTTTCAGTCTTCTGCATATTGTTAGCCAGTTATCATTTAGTGACTAGAAAGTCCATTGATCAACCAGAAAGTCCTTTCCTCATTGCTTCTTACTGTCAGCTTTATCAAAGATCTGGTCGTTGTAGGTGTGTGGCTTTATTTCCAGCTTCTCTAACCTATTCAATTGGTCTACATGTCTGTTTTTGTACCAGTACCATGATGTGTTGATTACTTTAGCCTTGTAGTATAGTTTGAAGTCACACAGTGTGATGCCTTCAGCTTTGTTCTTTTGGCTTAAAATTGCTTTGGTTATTCAGGTTCCTTATCATTCCAAATGAATTTTAGAATTTTTTTTCTAATTCTGTGAAAAATACCATTAGTAGTTTTATAGGAATAGCATCAAATCTGTAAATTGCTCTGGGCCATATGACCATTTTAACAATATTGATTCTTTCTACCTATGAGCGTGGAATGTTTTTCCATTTGTTTGTGTAGCCGCTGAGTTCTTTCAGCAATGTTTTGTAATTCTCATTGTAGAGATCTTTTACCTCCTTGGCTAGCTGTATTTCTCGGTATTATATTCATTTTGTGGCGACTGTGAATGGAATTGCATCCTTGATTTGGCTCTCAGATTGGATGTTATTGGTGTACATAAATGCTACTGAGATTTACACATTGAGTTTGTATTCTGAAACTAACTCAAACAAAATTTGCCGAAGTTGTTTATCATATCTGTAAGTCTTTGGGCAGAGACTATGGGGTTTTTCTAAGTATAGAATCATAACATCTGAGAAGAAAGATAATTTGACTTCCTTTCTTCCTATTTGGATGCCTTATATTTCTTTTGTCTGCTTGCTCTGGATATGACTACCAATACTATGTTGAATAGGAGTGACAAGAGTAAATCTCCTTGTCTTGTTCTGGTTCGCAAGGAGAATGCTTCCAGTTTTTGGCCATTCATTATGATGTTGGCTGTGGGTTTGTCAGACATTGCTCTTATCATTTTGAGATATGTACCTTTGATACCTAGTTTGTTAAGGGTTTTTTAAATGAAAGGATATTGAATTTTATCTAACACTTTTTATGAGTCTATTGAAATGATTATATGGGTTATGTTTTTATTTCTGTTTATGTGAAGAATCACATTTATTGATTTGTTTATGTTGAACCAAACTTGCATCCCAATAATAAAGCCTACTTGATCATGGTGGATTAGCTTTTTGATGTGCTACTGTATTCACTTTGCTAGTATTTTATGGAGGACTTTTGCATCTATGTTCATCAGGGGTATTGGCATAAAGTTTTCTTTTTTATGTGTGTCTCTGCCTGGTTTTGGATGAAAATGATGCTGGCTTCATAGAATAAGTTATGAGCAAGTCCCTCTTTTTTAACTTTTTGGAATACTTTCAGTAGGACTGGTGCCAGCTCTTCTTTATATGTCTTGCAGAATTCAGTTGTAAATGCATCTGCTTCAGGGCTTTTTCTGGTTGGAAGATTTTTTATGACTTACTCAATTTCAGAACTCATTATTGTTCTTTCGGGGTTTCAATTTCTTCCTGGCTCAATTATGGGAGAATATATTTTTCTAGGAATCTCTCCATTTCTTCTAATGTTTCTAATTTGTGTACTTACAAGTGTTCATAAAAGCTTCTGAGGGTTTTTTTTAATATTTCTATGGGGTTGGTGGCAATGTCGCCTTTGTCATTCCTGATTGTGTTTATTTGGATCTTCTCATTTTCTTTTTTCTTATTAGTCTAGCTAGAAGGCTATCAGTCTTATTAATTCTTTCAAAGAACCATCTCCTGGATTCATTAATCTTTCATATGATGTTTCTCATCTCCATTTCATTCACTTAAGCTTTGATTTTGGTTATTTCTTTCTTCCGTTAGTTTTAGGGTTGGTTTGCTCTTGTTTGTCCAGGGCCTCTAGATGTGATGTTAAGTTGTTAATTTGAGATCTTTCTAACTTTTTGATGTGGGTGTTTAGCATTATAAACTTTCCTCAGCACTGCATTATCTATGTCTCAGAGATTCTGGTATGTTTTATCTCCGTTTTCATTCATTTCAAATAATTTCTAGATTTCTGCTTTAATTTCTTTGTTGGCCTGAAAGTCATTCAGGAACAGGTTGTTTAATTTCTATTTAATTTTATAGTTTTGAGAGATCTTGTTATTGATATCTATTTTTATTACGCTGTGGTCTTAGAGTGTGGTTGATATGCGTGTTAGTCCATTCTTGCATTGCTGTTAAAATACTTGAGACTGGATAATTTATAAAGAAAAGAGGCTTAATAGGCTTATGGTTCTGCAGGCTGTACAGGAAGCATAGCACCGGCATCTGCTTCTGGGGAGGCCTCTGGAAGCTTACAATCATGGAGGAAGGCAAAGTGGGAGGTTGAACATCACACAGCAAGTCAGGAGCAATAGTGAAAGAGTGCAGGTGCTACGCACTTTTAAACTGCCAGATCTTATGAGAACTCGCTCAGTATTGACAGGACAGTACTAAAAGAGCTGATGCTAAAGCATTCATGAGAAATCTGCCCCCATGATTTAATCTCCTCCTTTCAAACCCCTCCTCCCACATTGAGGTTACATTCCAATGTGAGATTCAGTCAGAGACGCACATCCAAATTATATCAGTATGATTTAGGTTTTGGTTTTTTTATTTGAGAGAATTGTTTAATGGCTGAGAATGTAGTTGATTTTATAGTATGTGCCATGTGCACATGAGGAGAATGTATATTCTGTTGTTGTGTTTAGTATTCTCTAGATGTATTTTAGGTCCATTAGGTTAAGTGTCAAGTTTAGGTCTCGAATATTTTGTTAGTGTTCTACCCTCAATGATTTCTCCAATACTGTCAGTGGGGTATTGAATTTTCCCACGATTATTGTGTGGTTATTTAAGTCTCTTCAACAATCTTTAAGAACTTGTTTTATGAATTTGGGTGCTTCAGTGTTAGGGGCATATTTATTTAGTATATTTAAATCTTCTTGTTGAATTGAACACTTCATTATTATGTAGTGCTCTTATTTGTCCTTCTTGATCATTGTTGATTTAAAGTCTGTTTTGTCTTAAATAAGGATAGCAATCCCTGTTTTTGTTTTGTTTTGTTTTGTTTCTGTTCCCTTAATACATCTTTCTCCATTCCTTTACTTTGAGCCTATGAGTGTCCCTGCATATGAGATGAGTCTCTTGAAGATATCATGCAGTTGAGTCTTCCTTCCTTATTCAACTTGCCATTTTTTGCCTTTTAAGTGGGGTGTTTAGACCATTTACATTCAAGGTTAATATTGATAGAAGCAGATTTATAATGTCATAGTGTTATTAGCTGGTTGTTATATAGACTTGATTGTGTATTTGCTTTATACTGTTGATGGTCTATGTATTTGAAAGTTTTGTGTGTGTGTGTGTGTGTGTGCCCAGTGACAGTCTTTCATTTCCAAGTTTAGCACTCCCTTTAAGGACCTTTTGTGAGGCAGATCTGATAGTAAAAAATTCCCTCAGTATTTATTTGTCTGAAGTATTTTATTTCTCTTTTGCTTATGAAGCTTAGTTTGGCTGGATATAAATTTTTTATTGGAATTTCTTTTCTTTAAGGGCGATGAATATAGGCCCCCAATCTCTTCTGGCTTGTAGAGTTTTTGCTGAAAAGTCTGCTATTAGCCTGATGGAGTTCCTTTTGCAGGTGAACTGCTCTTTCTCTCTTGCTGCCTTTAATATTTTTTCTTTTGCTTTGATCTTAAAGATCCCGATGAGTATGTGTCTTGGGGATGGTCGTCTCATGTAGTATATCATAGGGGTTCTCTGAATTACCTAAATTTGCATCTTGACCTCTCTAGCGAGGTTCACACATTCAAATATGTGACCACATATTCAAATATATTTTCCAAGTTGTTTGCTCTCTCTCCCTTTCTTTCAGAGACACCAATGAGTTATAGATTTGGTCTCCTTACATAATCCCATATTTCTCAGAGATTGTGTTTATTATTTTAATTTTTTTCTTTATTTTTGTCCGACTGAGTTAATTCAAAGAAACTGTCTCTAAGCTCTGAGATTCATTCCTCAGCTTAATGTATTCTGTTGTTAATATTTCTGTTTGTTTGTATTATGAAATTCTTGTAAGTGAGCTTTCCAGCTCTACCAACTCAGTTGGCTTCATTCTTAAAATGACTATTTTGCCTTTCATCTCTTGAATCATTTCACTGGATTCTTTAGATTCCTTAGAATGGGTTTCAACTTTCTCCTAAATTTTTATGATCTTTATTGCCATCCAGATTCTGGATTCTATGTCTATCATTTCAATCATTTCATTCTGGCTAACAGCTATTGCTGGGGAGCTAGTGTGATCATTCAGAGATTAGAAGACACTGTGGCTTTTGGAGTTGCCAGAGTTCTTGTAGTGGTTCTTTCTCAACTGTGTGGGCTGATGTTCTCTTAACTGTGGTGTAATTTGAGTACAGTCAGTTGCCTTCACTTCCAGATCCTTTCAGAGGATAGAGGCTTTGTGCAGGCTCTTTATTTGTGGCTGAATTCTTGTCTTTGATTTCACAGGGAGGAATATTAGTAAAGTATTTTTGGTGTTGGAGTTTGGGCTGTGATTTAGTAGATGGCGCTTAAGCATAATGGCCAGTAGGTCGGCTCCTGCTCATCTAGGTGGCTCCTTTGTATTTCCTTGCATTTTCAGCCATGTTCCCACTCAGTGCTCTGAGACTATGAGCTCCTTTCCCACTTGAAGGCTGGCTGCAGATGTCAGCACTGGACTCCCTGGCTGTAAACAACAGCCCCATGGTGAGCTCAGGCTTTATGTTCTCTACCCAGCTTGGGGGTAGATAGGGTGGAGACCTCGGCAGTGCCGATGGCAGAAGGTTTTTCATTTGTGTCTTGGGGCTTCACCTCTGAAAACACAGGGCTACTGCCAGTCAGAATGATGAGCCTGGAATGGGACAGCTGTGTTGTAGGCCCTAGCTGGGGGGTTCTGCCTGGTGATGAGCAGAAAGGTAGAGAGGACTCATAGGGAAGAGAGACTGGACTCCTCTCCATATGATAGCTGTAGTATTCTGGAGGTGCCAGTAAAGCAGTCAGGCTCTTTGTCCCTTCCCCAACCCAAGGACAGCAAGGAAGGTACTCATGCAGTAGCAACAGCAGAAGGCTAGAAGTTGCCTCTGGGAGCTCCAACCCAGAGAGAGAGCTGCTATCAATGGAAACATTCAGCTAGGGATTGGGTGGCTGCACTGTAGGACCACGCCTGGGCCCTTCCTGGGGAAGAGCAGAGACTTGGGGGCTCACAGGGAACAGAGACTGGGCTTCTCTCTGTATGGCATTTACAGTGTGTTGGAGGTTTCATCAAAGGGCTTATGGTCTCTATTGTTTCCCCAGCCAGAAGGCAGCAAGGGTGCTACAACTGCAGCGGCATTGGCAGAGAGGCTGAGGGTTGTCTCTGGGAATTCCTCCCCAGAGAAACACAGAGCTGCCACCAACTGAAGTGCTCTTGTAGGGGTAGGGCAGTCTTGCTGAAGGCCCAGCTCAGGAGGCCCTGACCAATAGGAATAGCAGGGGCAGGGACCCACATAGAAAAATGTCCTGCCCACTTTTCTGTAAGTCAACTGCACTGTGATGGAGGCCTGCAGTACTTCCTGGGCTCCCTCCTCAGCCAGATGACAGTAGTGGTTAGGGTTACAGAGGTGGCTTAGGATGATTCTTTATTGCGGGGGCTGTGCTGTTCATTGTAGGATGTTTAGTGCATCTCTGACCTCCCACCCATCAGATGCTATTAGCACCAACCAACCAGCATATAGAACCAAAAATGTTGAGAAGATTCCAATGTGCTATGAAGAGGCATGAAAAGCCCCAGATTGTGTTAGATGATGCAAAAGATTACACTATAAAACACAGATGAAAAGGCCACATTCCCCGCTAATGAGTACATCATAATCATAAGATAACACATATCTAGATTGTGTCATATATGTAATTTTGTTACTCCACAATCTTATCATTATCCTTCCTAGTCTCCTACGCTTTAAACCCTCTTTAAAATTCTGAAGAGAAAATTATTTGATCCCACCAGAACCAAGGACCTTCCAATGATCTTGTCCATATTTGAATACCTTTAGACCACTTATATGCATTGCCCTTTTCCTACTTTGAACTTCATGGTAATAATTATTATCATGCTCTTGCACATATACCCAAATGCCTTACTCGTCTCTGACTTTACTGGCTTAACTAAATCATCTTCCAGATTAACCCAAATTATACCTTCTGAACCAGAGAAAATGGCTGAGAAAAAGTATTCAAACATGACCACTGTTCTGACTATAAATTAAAGGTCATTAGCATGTAATAATTCCTAAAGAAGATAGGCAGTCACATTAAATATTGACTTCCATGTTCCTAGACCATTATTTCATCCTTAAAGCAGCAATAGCATTTCCCTTGGCTTCATGTTTAGTAGTAGAGGACCTTGCTTCCCATTTTACTGAGAAAATACAAATACTCAAAGTAAGATTTTTAAAATTTGCATCACCATATCTTTCCCCACCTACATCTTTTTCCATGTTCTCCCTCAATTACATGGCTCACTCTTACTCTGTTCTTTCTTTCTTTGGCTTTTATTATAATTTTTATTGACACATAATAATCATATATATTTATGGGGTACACTGTGATTTCAATAAATGTATACAATGTGTAATAATCAAATCAGGGTAATTAGCATATCCATCACCTCAAAAATATTTCAATGGAAACATTCAAAATTATCTTTTTTAACTATTAGAAAATATACAGTAAGTTGTTGTTAATTATAGTACTCCTATTATGCTACAGAATATTAGAACTCATTTCCTCTACCTTGCTATAATTTTATGTTGGGTAATCAATGCTGAGCTATTACCTTCATCCTCCCTACCCTTCTAAGTCTCTAGTAAGCATTACTCTACTTTCTACTTCTGTGAGATCAACTTTTTTAGCTTCTGCATGAGTTAGAACATGCAATATTTGTCTTTCTGTGTCTGGCTTATTTCGTATAACATAACATCCTTGAAGATCATCCATGTTGTCCCAAAGGACAAGATTTCATTTGTTTTTCTGGCAGAATAGTACTCTATTATGTACATGTACAATATTTTCTTTTTCCATTCATTTCTTGATGGAAACTTAGGTTGATTCCATATCTTGGCCATTGTGAATAGTGCTGCAATGAACATGGGAATGTAGATACCGCTTCAACATAATGAATTTCTTTCCTTTGGAATATACATAGTAGTGAAATTGCTGGATCATATGCTACTTCTACTTTTAGTTTTTTGAAATATGTTTATATTGTTTTCCAAAATGTCTGTACTAATTTATATTCCTGCCAGAGACATTTGAACAAGAGCAACTCCATCTTGAACAGGAGCTGGGTAAAATAAGGCTGAAACCTACTGAGCTGCATTCTCAGATGGTCAGGCATTCCAAGTCACAGGATGAGATAGTAAGTCAGCACAAAATACAGGTCATAAAAACCTTGCTGATAAAAAATGGGCAACCAGCAGCCCTCACAGCTGCTCTGTATATGGAGTAGCCATTCTTTTATTAATCTACTTTCTTAATAAACTTGCTTTCACTTTACTCTGTGGACTCACCCTGAATTCTTTCTTGTGCAAGATACATGAACCCTCTCTTGGGGTCTGGATTGGGACCCCTTTCCAGTAACATTCCCACTAACAGTGGATAAGAGTTCACCTTTCTCTGCTTTCTCATTTATTACTTTTTGATAATAGCCTTTCTAACCAGGGTGAGATATTTCATTGTGATTTTAATAAACATTTCCCTAATGATTTGTGAGGCAGAGCACTTTTTCACATACCTGTTGACCATTTGTATGTATTCCTTTGAAATAATTTATTTAGTTCATTCTTTTTACTTAAATTCGGGTTTAAAATTTGCATCACCGTATCTTTCTCTACCTAATAATTTTAAGTTTTTAATTTATTGTCAGAAAAGTTAAGAAACAATATTTTTAAGTCAAAGATGTTATGCATATTGGACAGATTATCTAGAGCCTGAGATAAAAACCTATCCTTTCTTCTTCTTTCCCCTTCTTTGCTCACAATCTATCCTATGGATTAGAGTTCATGTTCACTTCTCTCACTTTTGCCTCTAATTTCTAACCTTGCTTGGAAGTAGAGGGTGGTACCTGTGGCCTGCAGGCCAAATCTGGCCAGAGATCATTTATTAAAATATATTTAAATGCCTGAAAAAATTATAAAGAAAATATTTTATAGCATGTGAATAGTACATGGAAATTCATATTTCAGTGGCTAGAAATGAAATTTCATTGACACATAGTCACACCTAATTTTTTATACATTGTTTATAATGGCTTGGACATTTTGCTACCAAAACAAAGATAAGCAGTTGCAACAGACACTATATGACGAGAAGATCTGAAATATTTATTCCCTGGCCCTTTACAGAAAAAAAAAACTGTTTTTTGACCCTGCTCTAAGACAAAGCCAGATTTATTAAACTGAGATTTATTGACGAATTCCACTGCAGAATTAGCATAAAAACTATTAACTACTTCACTCTTTCATAAAAATCTACATTTTTTCCAAAGAGGAAATCTATTGTGTTCATCAGAGCTGCATAAAAGTCTGTGAATATACATCAGTCTAAGAACTTTTCTCCCAATTGGGAAGAGGTAAGACATTGGCAATAATGGTATATGTATGTACTAATGTAAATTATTATTTGTAGATGTGTATCTACTCTTTTTAGTAAATGTTTTAGTTGAAAATATAAATGATTTTTTCTTTGATAGTGTCATTTTGGTACATAAACAGTAGGAATACATTTAAAACATTAATACTTTGTATTAATGATGGTGAAAATTTTTTTGGTTTAATGCCATGAATAATTCAGTTAAGCGAGGTTTATTCTTGCATGGCATCACTAGTCATCTATCTTCCCTAATTATTTTAAGTAACAGAAACCTTGCCATTGAGTGGGTTGCGTTATTGTAAGCAAGTGTTTGCCAAACTTGCCATTTCAAAAATTTACCATTTCATTCCCCACTTACGCTATATTTAATGATTTTTAATTAGTACTATTCAGTATGTTTTAAATAGAAAGTTTATGTAATCATAATCCAATCACAGGTTTGTTATGCAAGTATATGTACATTTTAAAAATAATTATTAATATAAGCATACAATGCAACTTCATGTACTGCATAAAATCATCTTGTACTTTTATTTGTTCATTCACATACAGAATATTTATTAAACATGTACTACATGGGGGATATTATTCCAAGGCACTGCAGATACAAGAGTGTACAAACTGAGGAATTTTCTGACATTACAAATAGCAATGTACATTATTTTTAAAAATTGTCTTTATGGTGAAGAGAAAAGATACTCTTTAGCAAAACATAGGGAACAGTGGGTTTAATTCTTCTTTGGTTTCTCTAGGGAAACCCCAAGAGAAAACCTATCTCAAAACCTATCTGTAATATTTTTTGTATGATTTATAGGCTAGATCCCTTCTCAGTTGTACTGAATTTTTTCCATTAAGATTTCTCTGCCAAATGTAAGGTGTTTATCATATTTATCATCTTTTTTTCTGGAAGCAATTAACATTCAAGAGCTAAAAAAAGAGAATTTATTGATTTTCCTTGATAAAAGTCCTTCCCTTTTACTTGTTACTCTAATAATTATGTTCTTAATATAAGAGAAATCTAAAGTCGTCATGACACTCGATAAGTAATACTGAGGTCTCGATATCCTCCAGACCCTGGTTTTGTCTGTCTTTCTTTTTTAAAATTCATTCTGAAGCATTCTAGCAGCACATCTAATAAGGCAAGATTTATTTCAAAATCAAAGAATTAATTAATAGAGACTAGTGCTTATTCCTATTATTTTGTGGTACTGTGTAACACTGCTAATTTTCAGCTAAATCAAACTTGCAATTAGGAAAAAGTAGTGCAAAAGTTATTACACACAAAATCCAAGTCATTTAGGGGGCTGAATGTGGCTGTCAGAACTATAGTGCATCAAGGAAAAGAGTCAAATTCTGTAAAATGTATAAAAGGTTTATATTGAGCCAAATATGAGCGACCAAGGCCCGTGACACAGCCCCAAGAGGTCCTGAGAATACGTGCCCAAGGTGGTTGGGTAACAGCTTGATTTTGTACACTTCAGTGGGACAGAAGTTACAGTCAGACATTGATCAATACATGTAAGGTGTACATTGGTTTGGTCCTGAAAGGCTGGATGACTTGAAGTAGAGGAGCTTCCAGGTCATAAGAGGATTCAAAGATATTCTGATTGGCATTTGGTTGAAAGAGTTATGTTATTATCTACATACCTGGAATGAACAAATAGGAGTGTCTGGGTTAAGATAAGGGGTTGTGAAAACAACATTCTGCAGGTAGCAGTCTTTGGAGAGAATAGATGGCAAGTGTCTCTAATAATACCAAAAAAGGTGAAAGACTCTCAGTCTCTCCTGGATCAAAAAAGACCTGAAAAGGTAAGGGGATTCTCTGCAGAGTGTAGATTTTCCCCCACAAGAGACAACTTTACAGGAGAATTTCAAAATATTCAAAGAAATATATTTTTGAGTAAAAATACTTTGATTTTTTTTAAGGAAAATGGATGTGCTGTGTTCAAGAATAGGCCAACTCAAACAGGTAGTCCAACATGAGTCAGCGAGTTTGGAGCACAGGCACACAACTCTAACCATTATGTAACCTGTTTGTGTAAGCTCATACTTGGCTCTGAGCCACTATTTTCTTTAAGGAGTATAACTGTCCTGCCAGAAATGGGGAGAGAGAGAGAGTAAAGCTGCTGATGCTGTGAAGAGTGCTGCTGCTGCTAATGTGCCTGCATGCATAAGACAGCCAGCCAACTTGGAGGCAGACAGGAGAGATCAAGGAAGTGTCATGCACTCCAGAGAGTGCAGCTGCAGTTGTGGCGGCAGCAGAAGCTGCAGAGCTGCTGCTGGAACAGGAGAGAGAGAGTAAAACTGCTGATACTGTGCACAGGGCTCTCAGAGAGAGAGAATAAGGCCATGTCCCAGCTACCTACCCTCCCCCAGGTGTTCTTTCAGCTACCCACTACCCCTCCAACCACTCCCCTCGGACCTCAGCTCGGGCTATAACCTGACAGATTTCTTTCAGGCCTGTTATTATACCTGATGTGATGCTATTCTAGAGTCAGATTGGAATTTGGTATTTTATTGTTACAGACTGCTTTGTCAGTCTTGAGATCTCTGTTTTAATCGTAATGCAGGTCAGTTTTGCCTGAATTCCAGAAGGACAGGAGTGTAATGGGGTATGTCTGACCGACCCATTTTCCTATTATGGCCAGAATTACTTTTTCAGGTTTACTTTGGAATGCCCTTGACCTAAAGGAGGGATCCATTCAGTTGGTTGGGGGGACTCTTAGAATTTTATTTTTGGTTTACAAGTGTCAGCAGGTAATGTTTTTATTTTTTACTTCACATTTTTTCCCTACTCCTTGTCAATATATATCTGAGCTCTGTCTCCAGGCTTATACCAATTGATGGCAATTGCCTTTACCTGGTCACTTTCTCAATATTGAAGTAGTAAATCAGTTGTTGGTAGGCCACTGACACAAGAAACACCTGGAGTAGACAGACGTAGCAGGATGCACCTGCACCCCAGAAAGGGATATTCCAGGAGGGACCCAAAACACTGTTCTGGGGCACAGCCTAAGGGCTTCCTATGGAGAAATTAGTATTCACACTTTAACTCTCCTTCAATTTGGAGTAATCTGAGACTCAGAGGCCATATATGGCTAGCAACTGTAACCTTAGAAAGGCTATACATTTTAGCTCTACCAGAATATTTTTTGCTTATTTATCTGCCTGCCCCCCTATGGACATTAAAAGCTCTGATAATGAAGGTTTTAACTTATTTAATTCTTAATAAATTCCTATATTGGGTAAATTAGGCCTTTATTTCTTATTTTATTATTATTATTTTTGAGACAGAGTCTCGCTCTGTTGCCCAGGCTGGAGTACAGTGGCGCAATCTCGGCTCACTGCAAGCTCCACCTCCCGAGTTCACGCCATTCTCCTACCTCAGCCTCCCGAGCAGCTGGGACTACAGGTGCCCGCCACCACACCTGGCTAATTTTTTGTATTTTTAGTAGACATGGGGTTTCACCGTGTTAGCCAGGATGGTCTTGATCTTCTGACCTCGTGATCCGCCTGCCTCGGTCTCCCAAAGTGCTGGGATTACAGGCATGAGCCACTGCGCCCAGCCTAGGCCTTTATTTCTAAGTAGGAGTGGTTTCCAGTAACTGTCAGAAGTATTTTGAAAAGTGTTTTGTTGCAAACACTGACGTGTCAGTGAAGTAAACTTGCTTCTTATTTTCCTTCCAAAAGGAATTTAAGAAATAATTTGGGTTGATTATTGTGAAATGGGAGTGTTCCCAGACCCCCCCTTGCAAGACCTGTGACAGGTGTGTCTGTTCAGCCACCACGCCTGCTCAAACCTCTTACAGAAGGGGAAGCATGCAGATGGGCAGGTACAACAGCCAGAGCAAGCGCTTTAGGGCTCCAGCCCCATGGTAGCATCTACGGGTGGGTGCCCATGACTCCCAAAGCCCAGGTGGGTGTGTATTACAGTGCACTCTTTTAGCTTTGCCATCTGTAGATGGCTTAAGTGTTAACCTCCTCAGTGCCCTCTTGGTACCCTGGTCCTTGTCCGGCACCCAAGAAGAATCAGGTTGCACACAGATGAATAAGGGGGTTTTATTGAATGGTGGAGGTGGTTCTCAGTGGGATGGGTGAGGAGCTGGAAAAGGGATGGGGAGTGGGAAGATGATCTTCCCCTAGAGTTTGGCCATCCAGTGGCTGATCTCCTCTCTGATCATCCCCAGCCGAATTCCTCTCAGCGTTCACGTGCTGTTTCTTTGCCATGCCATTCTGCCATTCTTCTGCTCTTCTGTTCCTCTACTCATCTGCTTCTGGAGCTTGGGGTCTGGGGTTTATATGGATACAGGATAGGGGGGCATGGTGGGCCAAAAGGCAACTTTTGGGCATAAAAACAGGAATGCCTGTTCTCATTTAGGGCTATGGGTTTCCAGGCTTGAGGGTGGGGCCTTTGCAGAGGAACCACTCTCTTCTACCTAGTATTTCCCTGTCTCCTGTTTGTATCAGTAGTTTTTCATTTAAATAAAATTAATTTGATTTTATCTAGTGCTTTGGGGTCTGTGTGTTTTTGTAACATAAGTATTTTTTATTCTTAACAGAAAGTTGACCTGACTAAAGAAGGAAAGCAGTACCTAAACCAGCTTGCAAAATTAAACCATAAGTTCTATTTATGGGATCAAGTCTGAGGACAAATAATGTATTTTAAAATCTATTATGTGGGTTTTCAAACTTATAGTACACAAAGAATCACCTGGAGATAGTGTTAAAATGCAGGTCTGGTGTATCACCAAGATTCTGAGTCAGCAAGTTTGGCAAGAGGGATTCACAATTTGAGTTTTAACAGGCACCAGTTGATGCTGATTCTGATGGTCTCATGTGGCACCCTCAGAGGAACAATAGAGTAAGTTTTACAACTTATTTGAACTTTACAAATGATTTTCTGATATTCATTTCTACGTAAGTTGAATTATCTAATCAGCTGCAAACAGCTGATAATTATCCACTGCAGATAATTATTTAATTATTTATAGAAGAAAGTAAAAGAACTATATAAATGATGATTTATAGAAAAATCATTTGAAATAATGAGTTTAATTTTATTATGTGAGTTGTTATTCATTAGAGAACTTGTAAATTTGTGATAAAAGAAATATTCCTATATTTCTTCATAACAGTGTGAACAAAATAAACAGAGGAAAACACACAGGTGGTCTCTATTAGTTTATAGTAGCTTTTGAGCTACTATAAACATATTCATATAAAAAACAAATGCAAAGTTTCACTTTTTAGTTTTTACTCCCTTATCTATGGTGATGAATTTTCCCTGCCTTTCACATACAAATGAAATACGAATCAAAGTGAACTGATATTTAAACACAGGACATTAACTATAGAAATACCTACTGTTAACTCACTTTAAAGATGTTATGAACTAAAAATAGCAGCTTAATGTATCATTTACCTATAATTTTGTCTCCATTCTGTTTAATCATAATTGTGGCTAAGTGTATTTTTATACTCAATCTTGAATTATAAAATTAAGATAGAAACTATTCTCTCACTTTCTTTTTCTTCAAGAGAGCTGATACATCCAAAGAGGTAAGACACTTTCATTCACTGGAAAACTGGATAATAAAACATGTATTGAACTTTTAATAGTTTCTTAATTTTTCAAAGAAATGTCATGGGTAAAGAAGAAAATTCTATGTAAGTATTTTCCTGATGATGTTGTGGAGTCTAAACATGTTTTATTCTCCTGGAAGAATCAATACTTACTTCTGAAATATGTGCATATTATGTATGGCTAATGTTGCACATTGATTGCATTTATTTACAGTACACTGACAAAAGTCTCAAATGTCTTGTAGAATTTAGATGGAAATTCGTAATACCAGTCTGAGGAAGATAATTATTCTCTGAGAACTTAGGTTAACATTGCCTGGTGAATAATTCCATTGGCCTAAAAAATGGTTCAATTTCAATTCTATTAAGTATAATATATAACCTACCATGCATAGATGCTGGCAATCACATACCTAATAGAGTAAGTTCCCACCTTCTCATTTTTGGATGGTGATAAAGTCATTAAACTGGCTATCATATGTAAGATAGAAAATTTTATTTATTTTAACATATTTCTTAATGGGTGTATGCTTGATGTCTCATATTATTTTGAACTGTCATATCAATGTGATAGGATTTTTAAAATTATCCTTACTAATACAATAAATATATTGTTAAATATGGCACTGTATTAGTCAGGGTTCTCCACAGGGACAGAACTATAGGATATGTGTATATATGAAAGGGAGTTTATTAGGGAGAATTGACTCACACAATCACAAGGTGAAGTCCTATGATATGCCATCTGCAAGCTGAGGGGCAAGGAAGCCAGCAGTGGCTCTGTCTCAGTGGCTTCAAAAGCCACAAAAGTAGGGAAGCTGATGGTGCAGCCTTCAGTCTGTGACCAAAGGCCCAAGAGCCCCTGGCAAACCACTGGAGTAAGTCCAACAGTCCAAAGGCTGAAGAACCTGGAGTCCGATATTCAAGGACAGGAAGCATTCAACATGGGAGAAAGATGAAAGCTGGAAGACTCAGCCATCCAGATTAGTTCACCTTCTTCCCCCTGCTTTTGCTAGCTAAGAGGCAACCAACTGGATGGTGCCCATTCACACTGAGGGTGGGTCTTCCTCTCCCAGTCCACTGACCCAAATGTTAATCTCCTCTGGCAAAATCCTCACAGATGCACCCAGAAACAGTACTTTGCATCCTTCAATTCATTCAAGTTGACACTTAATATTAACCATCACAAGCACCCAATACAAAGATGCACAAAGAAAGAAGGTAGCTACTCGTGTTAACAGAAGAGAGTATTAAAGAATGTAGGAGTAGTGGCATGGAGAATCTCCACCTCCCCATAATACCCAAGGGTGGACAAAGTAGTAGCTAAAGGTATTATTTTTAAGAAGACTTCAGCCCAGTTTGGACTGATTGCCTGTAATCAGTGTTCCCACATGTATAATAAAACCACAAACTCTAACAAACAGTGAAAATGTAAATGCTTTATCTTTTTTTTTAATCTTCTTTTAACCATTTGTGTTTTAGAAAAGGGACAATATCACTAATAGTTCAAGTGATTATGTACATTATATAGAAGATACTAACAACTTTAACAATCTAAGCTTTTAAGAACAACAATTGTGAAACCTTTGCATGGTCATTGTCTGAATTCCCTGCAATTTTCTATCTTCTTTTGTGTGTATCCAGGGGAGGTATCACTAATATAATACATATTTATAGTATCAGCTGTATCCAGCATACCCAACGTATTATCCTTATTCCTATCCATATGCTTACAATGCATCTTAGTAAACACAGGACATAATTACAAAGGTAAGCTAAGTCTAGTGACATGTTTTTACGATCCAGAAATATCAATGCTGACAGTTAAAAGAGGAAAAACAAGCACAAAGCATAAAACCAACAGCAGTTCCAGTCTAAAAATTGTAGTCTTCTGAAACCCCTTGAGATGTATTCATTTATTTAAGTGCTTCTGAGATAAAGCCTCTGTCCCACTATGGTTAAAAAAGTCTGGGCTCTGTGGAGAAGAGACCCTATCTTGGCCCTGACAACTACTGTTGTTAACTGTTGTTGTTTTTAAACCTCAGTTTTATCATCAACAAAATATGTATTAATATAATACTTAAGAACTTTAGAGAATTGGTGACGCTTCTGAAAGATATGTGACATAAAATCTCTTGATCAGAAAAATGTATAGTTTTGATTGCAGGGTTTTCTGCCACTAAATCTGTCCCTGGATGTGGTTTAAATTTTGTGCCCCAAAATGTAATCTTTGGAAAAGCTGCATAAGCACCATCTGTAACACGTGAGAAATTTACATGTTATGGCCTAAGTAACTCTAATAAGCAATTGCCACGGGAACTAACGTAATACTAACAAGGGAATATAAAAATATTATCAATTTCCATTTTAGAAAGTGAGTTTTATCTTTCTGTGTACAAAATTAGTTGTTCCGAATTCTATGAGAGATTAAATATTTCACTACAAAATAAAGCAAACTTTTGGAGATAAAAGAGGACTGTTCTGAAATTCAACGTTGAAATGGTTCATAAGATTGCAATTATTTTTCAGAGCATTTGGGAGATTGTATTCCAATAGGATTCCCTGTATCCATTAATGATATGGGAAGGAGACTGAACTTGATCCCCTAGGCATTAGATAATAGCTAATGACATTTAATCGAGAAAGGATATATTACAAAATTATTTTGGGAAGTTAAATATGAATGCAATACTTAAGCTGTATGTAAGTCAGAGAATAAAAGATGATGACGGAAAAACAAAAGAAATTTACATTAGAATTGCAGACAGTGGATAATAACTTTTGTTTATTCAGATACTCATTTAATGAGTATTTAATTGTCTCCTGTGTGTCAAATGCTATTTTGGGTGCTGCATTATATTAACTAAAATTATCTATAAATATCTACTCTGCACCAGGCCAGAACCTACATGTATTTACAGGAAGAAACATTTTACAGGCAATCTGTTATTTTCTTTTTCTGTACATATTTCAGTGGCAAATCCAGTTTCTACATGTGTATTTTCATCCCTGATGCCACATCACGCTACCACCAGTTCTTGCAAAATTGACAGAAAGGCAATGTGAAATAAAACAAAGGCCATAATACTTGCCTTCTTAGTTGACCTTTGATTAGATAGTTCTAATATCAAACTGCTAAACTGGTTTTACTGCTGTTCCGAGTAATAAAAAACTATTCTTTTCATAAAAGTAATGGATATCAGCACATTTTTATGTATGTGCTCTTTATTTCTATTTTTGTGTATTTCAGACATAAAACATTTCTTTCGTCACTTTGTTTTTCAAGTTTCAGTAGAACTGACTGAAGCACCTTGTATCAGAGGTCCTGCGAAGTCACATATTTCTCATTTGGTCTGTCATCTTATATCTAACCAACATATGGACTTCAAGCGCAGCTAGATTATTGCACGTATTTACTCTAACATTTGATTTGCTCCTGGATTCCTTTGTCACAGCACATATGCTAAGCCTCCAAAGTCCTCACTTTTCTTATCTCAGTCCCTGCAGACCAGAAGATAACCCCCATGTCACTCCATAGCTTTAGGCAAGAATTCAGAACACAACAATGTTCTCCATGAGTTTGTCAGCAATTACTTTCCTTCATTTATACATTGAGTGACACTCGATGGCCTGACAAGGCCCTCTTTAGATACTGCACATGCAGCAAGGTCTAAGAGAGATGAAAGTTGGCCTTCAGGCAGTTTACACTGTAGTTGGGAGATAGAAACAACAAGTGAAAAAATAATACATAGTATCTCAAGTAATCATAAGTGTGCTAAAGATGAAGAAGGCAGGACTAAGGCAAAGAGGCAATTTAAAATAGGATGGTCAAGAAAAGCTTCTCTGGCACAGTGGCATTTTAGAAAACATATGAAGTGCTTATGTTCATAAGTTAGCATGAAAAAAAAAATCCAGCAGAAGAAATAGCAGGGCTGCATTCTACTGTGGTAGAAATACATTTATTGCGTTTGGGAAAACTCTAATGAAAACAGCATGAATAGAGAAGGAAAGATGTGGATTAAAATAAACTATATTACAGAAAAGAGGTGAGGAGATGATTGAAGCGCCATAGGTCAAAGATAGCCTTTGGATTGAGATAAATGCCATTGGATCAGGCATTGATCTGATTTATATTTTGGAAGGGAGGCAAGGGTTGAAGCATAGATCCCTTACTTTGGCATTACAGAACCCTGCTGGCCCTTAATAGTTTTACATCCTTTTGTTCTACCTGTTCATTCTTTTTTTCCATATTCTCCTAACCTACAACTTAATATTTATGATTTAGTACATACTTTCAATAACTCAAACAACTCCAGTGAAGTCTGAATTTGATTAATTATATTTGCTAAAATCTCAATCCTACTAATTGTTAAATCTTCTTACACTGCATCTCTACCAAGAAAACGCAAATGTACAAAGAAAAGAATTTATTTTATGTTTTATAAATGTGGCATACAATGTTGCTAAGCAAATAATATTCTTGTATTTAGTTTTATAGCTCTCACCCTTTCCCTTCAATAAAATGTCCAAATGTATCATTAAGTTTTCTGAAATATCCAACTCATCTTACCTTGTAGTCAGTTCCAGAAAACAATCTACTCTGAATTAAAAACTGAGCCCATTTGATCTAACCCATTTAAGCTCTCTACTTTCACTTGTTTATAAATTAATCTATACTTGACCAGATTTGTAACTCTCTGCAACATCTTGATCATTGACATGATTCTAATGTTTTTCCAGAGATATATTCCTGTTGTTCCTGGTTTTGTATTTCCTCCTTTATACTTGGAGAATTTTAAAAATTAAGATGTTCTTTTTCATGAAGATTATGATGATGAAAATTATAATAATGATAGAATCTAATATTTGCATTTGAGTCATTTTAATTTACAATGTGATTTTTATATACTCTCCTTTAAGTTTCACGTATTACTGTAACATTTTATAAATAAGAAAATTTTAGTTTAAAGACATAAAGCAAACTAAGCAACCTATAAGGTCACTGCAACATGGTAATTAACATTTCCTTCCTGATGTTTCATCCTCTTGGCTTCCACAACATACAAACAGCCGAGAAATACCTCTTCTGCTATTCTTTTCCATCACAGATTTTTTTCATAGACTTTCTATTTTCTCTTACACATTACATCAGTGCTCAGCAGGATATCTGTCCTCAGCCTATTCTCTTCTGACTCTACACATCTTGATTGTATAAGCTGTAATAATCTCATAGTTTGATTACAATCAATAAGATGATAAGTGCCCAATCTGCAACTCCATTGTTGACCTTCTTCTCCCAATTTTAGACTCATGTTTTCCTGGGTTTCTCTGTCTTAGCCTTTATCCTTGTCTGATTCACAAATTATACTGTAAACTCCTTAAGAACAAGAGTAAAGCTTCTCATGTCATGTCTCCAGAATAAACAACATTCTATCTATCTAGTAGATTATCATATGTTGTTCAGCATTTGTCAATCATATATGTCATTTTAGTAATTCAAACAGGAACATAATATAACATTTTTAGTTAAATAAATAAATATCATGGATATTGGTCATAAATGGTTTCATGTTTCCATCATAAGAGAATTGCAGAATAAGGAGAAGGAGGAGCAGCAACTGGAGCAGCAGGAAGACAAGGAGGATGAAGAGGAAGAGGAGAAGGAGACGGCAGTAAAGAAGATAGAGAAGCAAGATTGAGGAGAGCCCAGCATAAACATCACTACAAATACCCATTCATGGGTTGTATCCTTAAGCAAAAATTGTATTGCCTCACCTGTGATAAAGCAGTAGTTCTTTGTTGATGTTTCCTTTGTAACGAAAGGTCATGACATTTTCAAAGAGAACAGTGTTTGGCATAGAGGATAAGATATCTGTTTTCTTTAATTATAAAATATGAAGTCATGTTCTGGTTCATCAGTCTTCTAAATTGGTCTGCTCTTCCTGGAGGGTGGGACCATAACTAACACGAGAAGGTCACTCCTTTGTTTCTAGTCTGCTATCCTTGTTTGACCTATCATACATAATCCCCACACTTCCTAACTTGGGGAAGCAGAAAATGATGGGTGGACTAATGCCTACATGTTGGTATTCCAACATAACATGTAGATGAGTTAAGTTTAACTGTAATTTTAAAGTGTGTATATTAAGATGTATCAATATTTCTTACCATGTAGTTTGCTGTTTGTTAGTGCCTTTGGGCTATTAGTTTGCTTTATGTTCACTAGAACATGAATACCTTAGATCTACTAGAACAGTACCTAGTATTGTTGGATAAATGAAGTGGTGAAGAAAACCAGAGGTAAGAAAGGAGAAGAGAGGGAGAAGAAAGAAAGAAGAAAAGAAGAAAATCATTTGACTTTCCCCAAGTAATCGAAGCAGTTTATTTTTAAAATCAGATATAGTTCAGTAGTTACTGAACCATGGGCCAGGCACAATGGCTCATGACTGCAATCCCAGCACTACTTGGAGGCTAAGGCAGAAGGATTTTTGTGGTCAAAAGTTCAAGACCAGCATGGGCAACATAGCAAGACCAAGTCTCCACCAAAAACAATTTAAATTAAATTAACCAAGAGTGATAACACATGTCTGTAGTCCCAGCTAAACATGAGGCTGAGGTTGTAGGACCACTTGAGCCCAGGAGTTCCAGGCATCTGTGAACTATGATCTCACCAATGCACTCAAGACTGTGCTATGCAGCAAGACCCCATCTCTGGAAAAATAAAATAGTTACTGAACCCTATGTAACTTTTTTCCACTCAGAATGTAAAGAGATTGTGTTTGTTTTACACATGAGAAGAAACTTTGTATCTATAATGCTTATAAATCTCATGACAAAAGAATAAGAATAATATCTATCTAATTTAATTTGAATTATTTATTTGCCTTAAGAAATGATTTATATTTTCTTGTATATTACCCAGAGAGTAATCATAATTTCCAGTAAGGCTGTTCCAATACAGCATAAAAATTTACCTAATAAATACTTCCTTAAAAAATCTGATACAAAATTAAACCACAAATTATCTTTACTGGTTAAAGCCTAAGGATAACTAATGCATTCAAGAGACAAATATGTGGTTGTTTTTTTTTTTATGTTTTTGTGGAGATACGGGTCTCACTATGTTGCCTAGGCTATTCTTGAACTTCTATGCTCAAGCAATCCTCCTGCCTCGGCCTCCCAAAGTGCTGGGATTACAGACATGAGCCACTGAGACCAGCCTTGTTTCAAACTTCACAGTACCCAAAGAATCACCTGGAGATAATGTTAAAATGCAAACGCCTTAGGACAACCCCAAGATTCTGACTCAGCAAGTTTGCGAAGGTGGACTAAGAATTTACATTTCCACAGGCTCCAGCTGATGCTGTCTGTGATGTTCCCATATGGCACACTCTGAGGAACAATGCACTAGGCTGTATAACTTACCTCAACTTTATATATAAGTTTTTGATATTCGTTTCTTAGTACATTGAGTTATCCAACCAGCAGTGAGTAGGGTAATTTTTACACAAATTTTCCTAGGAATGTAATGAAAACATTTTTTCCTTCACTCTAGTGTAATCATGTCAACACATGGCTGCTATGGAAAAATATGTAGCCTTAAAAACTCCAGGAAATTAAATTGAATTTCCAAATACATATATTCAGTCATATGTGAGATATGTATCAGTGAGCACTTAGAGTCATTTCACCATAAATATAATAATTTTTTATCATATAGTACCCAAAAGATTACTGAATTTGGCAAATGTTTACGTTCACTTTGTAACTTAAAATATTCTAAAGTCAATAGAAGATGGTAAAAGTATGAGATAAATAATGATTTGAAGAAAAACTCTTGAAGTATATGAAGACTGTAATTTTATTATGCCAGTTACCACGAGTTATCAGAGAACATGTAAAATCTTGATAACATGGTAAGTATTATTTGTGTCATAGAGTTGTTCCACCTTGGACACATACTTGTGGAAACATCTTTATCACTGCAATTATTTCTATGCCTGGTTTCCTCCAGCATGCTTTTCTGTCATCTGACTCACTCAGCGCTAGACTAACAGTGGGATTAACATGCAGTGGGTACAGTTGTTTCCTGGTTACTTTGTCTTCACAATCATCTATTGCAAAATCACTTTGTTACGGTTATTTTTATCATTTGTAGAGACAGATTTTGGGCATTACTTTTAGTTTCCATAATGTGATCTCATAATTGCCATTATTTAACAAAAACAAATGGGGGACTTCAGAGTGTTTAAATACATTGGCCCTCTAGGGTAGCACATCATCTCTTGAAGCTTCACTTCAACTTCACTACTTCTGTAGTCTCATCTTGAGTAAAAGGTAATATGTTCATGTATAATCGAATATGTTGTCTTAATCTAGAGTGTTGCTTCCTAAAATCTTTTGAAAACTAATTATAAAAATGTGTATTTATGTAATGATAATTTCTCATAAAGAAACAATTGAGAGAAATGATGACCTTCTTAGGATCTGAAGGTAAGTTGAGAATCTGAATAACTATACATTGAAATCAGCAATCATCATGCAAAGTAAATAATGTGGAATATGGAGACATATTCCAACTTCTCTCCTGATGGAACTTCTGAAAAGCTTTTTATTTCCTTGTCTACGTACTGGCATCTACTCTGCTACTTACTACTTTTACCTTTATTCGAAGTTCATATTTTAAGAAAATAGCATACGTTCTCTTTTTTGCAAATGTATATATTGTTTCACAAGTTTAACTTTTAAAAATTTACTTTTTTCCCATAAGTAAACATTTCTCACTACCTTTTCATTGACCTTTCCATCATTTTAAACAGTTATGTCATTCTGCATAATAAAAAATGTTGTATAACAGTCATGCTTTACTGCCTTACTGTTTTATATTACTTAAGTTGTTTTCATTCAGTTGTGATATGGCAGAAAACAAAGATTTTACTATTTCATATTTTTATTATTTTTCATTGGGGAAATATTTTTTTAAAACCATGACATATATATTTATATATCTATGTCTATATATCCATCTTTCAGTTTATCAAGGTTAGTAAAACAAAACTACTCTTCTATGAGCATTTTTTGATTCCATACTTTCAATAAAATTTACAGGTATAAAATACACTAAAGTTTTTATGCTTTTTGCATCATAAAATGACTGATGGGTAGGTTTATCTATCAGGTGATAGAAAAACCCCAAAGTACATATTATTTTTACACTTACTCTAATACCAGAAATTTCCTTTTTTTTTTTTTTTTTTTTTTAATTTGAGACAGAGTTTCGCTCTTGTTGCCCAGGCTGGAGTGCAATGGTGCAATCTCGGCTCACCGCAACCTCCACCTCCCGGGCTCAAGTGATTCTCCTGCCTCAGCTTCCTAAGTAGCTGGGATTATAGGCACTCACCACCATGCCCAGCTAAATTTTTATTATTATTATTTTTAGTAGAGACGGGGTTTCTCCATGTTGGTCAGGCTGGTCTTGAACTCCTGACCACAGGTGATCTGCCCACCTTGGCCTTCCAAAGTGCTGTGATTACAGGCATGAGCCACCACACCCGGCCAGAAATTTCAGTTTGAATAACTGAGGCAAATCAGTGAATAAGTAACAAAGCAAATGCCATAAATCATGAGTTCTGCTTTATGTTTTGGAGATTTGGGGTTATTAATAACAGTAATTTTTTTTATAATTAGGTAAAAAATATTCTTGTAATGTTTTATCACAAGTTATTGGTAAAAGAGATTAAAATAATGAAGACCATTACCTTTATATGAATTACTCTATAGTTTTCAATAAACAGGTAAAAATGTCATTTATTTGTAACTCTTGTGGCAATTATGTGTTTCACTGAAAATGTCTTTATTTAGATGTTTATAATTTACAAATAAATAATCTAACGTTTTTTGTTTAATAACAAAGGAACTGGGTTAACTGGCTTATACTGTTTATGATAACATATCACAGTCCCAGATAAGGTTAATTTTGTTGAATGAGATTATTTAAAATATTAAGTCATCTTCACCAATTCAACTTCTCAGAGGAGGTACGAATATTTTCTCTGTGACTTCTTATCAGTTTGATTGTTCTCTACCCAGTATCATTAATGTTCTAATCTGAAGGTGACCCCATTTTTGCAACTCTCAAGACAGAAATCTGGCTCATTTTCAGTAACATTATAAAGCGATTGCCCATTGCTGGTCATTCTAACATCCAAACATCTCTTTACACTGTACCTTAAATATCATCCCTAATGTCATTATTTAAGGCGCCCCATAATATCCAGTTCTATCTTCCCTACATTTTGAACTGTTCCAGTTTTATCTTCTGATAAACTGCTCCAGTTTTATCTTCCCTACATTTTGAACTGTTTGCACTTTCAATATGGTATCCTCCCTCTTTTTCATTTTCTTGCAGTCACCCAACACCTCTTTACTCATCCTGCATAATCCAACTCAAGCTTTACTTTCTTCTTTACCTTCATACCCCTATTCTCTTGGTCTGTGTAAGGTGTTGATTTGTGTGTTACTCTAATGCCTTAGCATTTCCATATCAATACACTCACTTTTACTTATCAGTGTCTCCAACAAGTCTCCAAGTTTCATGATGTCAGGCAATGGGTTTTAATTGTCTTTCTATCTGGAGTGTGTCTCCCAGTGCTTTGGAGCGTAGTATAATCAATAAACTTTTGATGGGCGAATGCAAGAAAAAATGTGATACTGAATTTCCACATATGTTTTCAGAGAACCCAGCCAACTATGAAGTTCCTTGTCTTTGCCTTCATCTTGGCTCTCATGGTTTCCATGATTGTAAGTATATCAGGACATTTGAAGAATATGTTCTCAGTACCTATCCCAAGAGTCTCTCTATTCCTTGTGTTCTGGCATATATTGGTGTTTACTTGAATACAGCTTTATATGTTTAAATGTTTCCATATGAACTTTTTTTTGTACTAACCTACATAAGCTATATAAGGATTTAGAATAAATAGTCATTATTCATCTACAGACACTAAAGTATATTTAGCTTAGTGTGAAATAAAAGAAAGTTTTACTGAACTTCTTAAATATGTGGAACTGAGAGCTTCTAAAAGTATCTTTAAACATGTAATGCTCTAGACAATCTGAAGTTAGAAATCTCAGGAATGAACTAGGTGCACTTGAGTGGAATTCAAGTATTAGAAGATGTCAAAGTAGAAATTTTCAAGTCATTCCTTGCAAAAACTAACTTAAAATTAGTATACAATTATTTAGCACACACTTTCTAAAATAAAGCTGCTTATTTTTAACTATAAAACAAAACTTCAGATCTATGACATGTTATGAGTTCCCAGCTTTTATTGTCATTTACTACTATGTATCACTAGGTAAAGCACTTGACTTCTCTGGAGCTCTTTCTTCTACTCTACTTCCTTCTATTTCTCCTGTCCCTTTTCTATGACATTAGTAGGAAACTGGCCATGAAAGAATAAAAATAGTTCAACTTACCTGGTAAATTCTAACAGATATTTCAAAAACTAATTTGATTATAAAATCACAGTATACCACATTATTTGTTATAAAAGGATAGGTGTCTAAAAAATAAAAAATAAAAATGTAAGGAAAACAGAGAAAAACATAATGCTTGTCTCTGTCAGTAAATAAAAGTTATGTGTAAGTAGCCTTTGAGCTGCTGAAAACATATTCTTATGAAAAAATACAAAGTTTCACTTTTCATTCACCAATGATAACCATTTACTCCCTTTTACACACAAAACAAGTATAAATCCAAATAAATTTATATTTGAATATAGCACACTAATTACAGAAAAGCATACTCTTAACTCATTTTAAAGATGTCATGAAGCAAAAATAACTAATTTAGTGTCTATCGATGATTTGCCTACATCCTGTTTACTCACAACTGTAGCTGCTGAGTTCATTTTTGTACTCAATCTGGAATTATAACATTAAGATACTAACTATTGTCTAATTTTCTGTTTTCTAAGGGAGCTGATTCATCTGAAGAGGTGAGTCATTTTCATTCACTGGAAAACTTGTTTTCAGTTTTGTCCTCCCTACATTTGTATTGAATTATTAAACTTTTCTTCATTTTTCACAGAAATTTTTGCGTAGAATTGGAAGATTCGGTGTAAGTGTTCTCTGATAATGCTGTGTAGTCCAAATAAATTGTGTTCTCTGATTACTTATTCTTCTAGAAGAACCAATACTTATTTCTCAAATATGTGTAGTAGTTGCAAAAGTGTGCTTTGTTTTCCTCTATTTATGATACACAGGTAACAGTCACAAATGTATTGTGTCCTAACAACATTTAAGTTGAAACTCATAGTGCCAACCTGAAGAAACCAGTTACTCCCTGAGCCCTCAAGTATCATCTCCTAAGTAATCACTTTGACCTAAAAAATAGTTGAAATTCTAATTCTGTTAATTATAATATATGCCTCATGGAGCATAAAGGCTGATAATTACACATAAAATATGGTAAGTTTGCACCTTCTGATTTTTTTTGACGGTGATAAACTCATTAAATTAAACAGGTCATGATAAATGAGATAGCAAATTTCATTTATTTAACATTTTTCTTAATGTATGTATCTTGATGTCCCAGTATGTTGACATATAATGTCAATGTGATAGGGTTGCAAAAGATCCCCTAACTAATATAGTGAATACATGGATTAAAATAACACCAAATAAAAAGATACTCTAAAAGGGATGATGGTTATTTGTGTTAACAGAAGGAAGAAGTATTAAGGAATGTAGGAATCGTAAGAGACAGTAAGCTCATTAAAAGAGTGACTTGAAGAAACACCACATAAGCTGAATTTAGTAAATGTCTCCTTCCCATAATACTCAAAGGTGGGCAAAATGGTTGCTGGGAGGTAGTATTTTGAAGAAAATTTAAAACCTCTTTGGAGTGATAGCCTATAATCGGTGTTCCTGCATGTGAAATAAAACCACAAAACTGTGAACATGCAGTACAAAGGTAAACACTCAATCATTTTTACCTGCTTTTAAAATGTGTTTATAACCAAAAAGAAAAATCTAATTGAAAGTTTGGAAAAAAATCTTATAAGTAATATGTAAGTTCCTAAAACTTTAACAATCTAAGCTTCTAATAAAAACGCTTGCACTGTCATTATCTCAATTTTCTGCAATTTTCTTTCTCCTTGTGTGTATACAGTATGGGTATGGCCCTTATCAGCCAGTTCCAGAACAACCACTATACCCACAACCATACCAACCACAATACCAACAATATACCTTTTAATATCATCAGTAACTGCAGGACATGATTATTGAGGTAAGATGGGTTTAGTGACATTTTTTTTACTTTCTGTATCAGTGCTGACAGTTAAAAGAAGAAAAACAAAAACAAGACATTAAACCAACAGCAGTTCCAGTATAAGAAAGCAGCCAGCTGTATAGCTCCTTGAAATGTATTAATTTATATAAATGCTTCTGAGATAGTCTCTGTCCTGCTATGGTTAGAAGGCAGTGTTATAGAGTGGGGGACACCAGGGTTTGTATGCTGGCCCTGACAACTACTAGTTTCATGACTTTGAACTACTCCTAATGCTCCTGAACCTCAGTTTTCTCGTCAAAAAATTGTGTATTATGATAACACTTAAATGTGCTTTTTAGAATTGGTGACACTTTTGAAAGACATATCACATAAAATCTCTTGATCAGAAAGGTTTGTAGTTATAACTGCAGGGCTTCCCTGCCACTAAATCTGTACCTAGGTGTTGCTTAAAGTTTTCACTCCCAAAATGCAATCTTTGGAGAAGCTTCCATCTGGGAACCATCTGGGAACTTGTGAGAAATTTGCATTTTGTACCCTAAGTAACTCTACTGAGCAATTACTATAGAAATTATTAACATAATGCTAACAAGAAAATATGGAAATGTTATCAATTTCTTTTTAGAAAGTCAGTTTTACCTATCTCTACACAACATTAAATGTTCTAAATTCTATGAAAAAATAATATTTCAAAACAAAATAGAGCAAACTCTTGGAGATAAGGGAGGATTGTTCTACAAAGTTAAAATAGTCCAAAGGATTTCAATTATTTTTCAGTGCATTTGGGAGATTATATTCCAATTCAATTCTCTATTGCCATTAGTGATACAGGGAAGAGCCTGAACTTGATCCCCTAGGTTTTAGGTAATAGCTGATGACATTTAATCAAGAAAAGATGTATTGAAATATTATTTAGAGGAAATGCATATAAATGAAATGTGTAGGCTATATTTAAGTAGAAGAATAAAATAGTATGATGATTGAAAAATAATTTAAATTGTAGATGCTGAATGATAATTTTTATTTATTCAGGAACCAATTTAATAATTGTTTAATTGTCTACTCTGTGTCAAATATTATTTTGGGCCCTGCATTTTATAAACTATAATTGTATATAATATCTACTCTGTACCAGGCCAGAATATAAATGTGTTTACAGGGGTAAAAATTTTACAGATAATCTGTTATTTTTTTTTTTCTGTGCAGGCTTGATTGGCAAATACGACTTCTACATCCATATTCTCATCTTTCATACCATATCACACTACTACCACTTTTTGAAGAATCATCAAAGAGCAATGCAAATGAAAAACACTATAATTTACTGTATACTCTTTGTTTCAGGATACTTGCCTTTTCAATTGTCACTTGATGATATAATTGCAATTTAAACTGTTAAGCTGTGTTCAGTACTGTTTCTGAATAATAGAAATCACTTCTCTAAAAGCAATAAATTTCAAGCACATTTTTACATGTATGCTCCTTATTTTTCTCTTTTCTATTTATAGGAATAATGATTTCTTTCATCATCTTCTTTCCCAGTTTGACTAGCACAGATTGAAGCCCATAATGTCAGAGGTCCTTATTTATAATTTAGTCTGTCATATTTTATATGTTACAAACATGGTACTCAAACTCACTTATTATTAGAGCTATTTATGCCAAGATTTGATTTGCCCATGGTTTCCTTTGCCACACCACAGTTGCTAAGCCTCCAAAGCACTCACATTTTTTATCTCAGTCCCTGTAGGTCAGAAGATAACCACCATGTCACTCTACAGCAGTATGTAGGCACTCTGCATGTAAACCATCTAATGCCCTCCATTAGTTTTTCAGCAATGACTTTTATTCAAGAAATATTTATTGAATGACCCCAGCTGTCAGGTCCTCTTCTAGATGCTGCAGACAAAGAGAGACAAAAGTCCTGTCTTTGGAGAGTTTACATTGTAGTTGGGAGATGCAGATACAAAGTAAATAAATAGTACATATCTTAGGCAATGATAAGTGTGCTAAAGAAGTATAAGCATGTCTAGGGCACAGAAACAAATTTAAACAGGATAGTCAACAAGAGACTCTCTGACATAGTGACATTTTATGAAAGATATGAACTAAGCATGAGAGCGAATATGGAGAAATAAATTTTCCAGCAGAAAATAGCAAATGCAAATTTATTGTGATAGAAACATGTTTGTTTCATTAGGGACAAATTCAAGGAGACCAATATGGACAGAGAAGGCAAGTGGATCAAAATAAATTACGTCACAGCATAAGGGATACGCAGGTAACTAAAGCTTTGTGGCCCATGTTAAGTCTTTGATTTGAGATGGATGACATTGGAGAAAGACATAATCTTATTTATATTTTGGAATGGAATCAAGGGTTGAATCATAGATATCCACACTTGGGCCTTACAGAAATCTGTGGGTCCTTCCTATTTTTATGTCCTTTTATTCTATGTGTTCCTTTTAAAATTTATTTTATTTTCCTCTAAGCCAGTACTTCATATTTTTCATTCACTATATACTTGCAATAACTCAAACAATTCCAGTGAACTTCTGGGTTTGGGTAACTCTACTTGCTAATATCTCAATCCTATAAATCCCTAAATTTTATATCATGTTTCTTTATCAAAACCTAGATATATAGAAAAAATGTGATTTTTTTGTTTTCTAAATTTGGAGTACAACATTGCTCACCAAGTTTTTTCCACGTATTTGATGCAATACCTCTCTCATTAACCTACAATAAATTGCCCCAATATTTGTTTTCTGAAGGAACCAACTCATCTCACTCAGTAGTCAATTTCAAAATAATAATATTGATAATAATAATAACAACAACATACGTATTTGAAAGGAAAATTGAATTCATTAGGCATAAGTGTCTTAAACTTCTTACTCTCACTTTTAATAAATTAATCTATATCTGATCAGATTTCTAATTCTCAAAGTCTTAAAGGTGAAGATGACTGTCATGTTTTCCAAAGATATTTTTTCATTATTCTTTGTTTTGCATTTTCTCCTTTATTCTCAGAGAAATTTTTGAAACTAAGATGTTCTTTCAAATGAATACTATCATGCTAAAAATAATAATAAAACAACCTAATATTTACCTTTAAATAATGTATATTTTAAATTTCTCATATATATGAAATATATAAATATATAAATCATATTTCATATTATATATTAATATATGAAATATATATTTTCATTTAATTCACTTTCAACTATTATTATAACATGGTCTGGGTAACTAAATTGTAGTTTAAAGAAACTACAGAATCCCCTATTTCACTACAAATTTTATTCATTGTGATTAACATTTTCCCCTTGAAATTTCATCCCTTTTGTTTCCATTATGTACGTATATTTCTTGAAAATACTATACTATTCTTTTCCCTCTCAGAGATTTTCATGGGCTTTCTTTTTCTCTCACATACTACATCAGTGTTGTCTAGGGGATCTTTTCTCAACTTTCTTTTTTTCTGGTTGTACACTTCTTTCTTGTGTGACTTCTTTTCATAATTCATTTTCATAATTGATTAAAATCAATAAGCTGATAAGTCCAAAGTCTGCAGTTCATGTGTGGGAAGAAGAGTTCCTTCTTCTCTTAATTTAGACTTATATAACAAACACTCCTCCAGACTGATGTGCAGTTGCCTTTAACCTTGTATGTTTTATAAATTGAACTGTAACCTCCTTAGAAGCAGAAAAGAGCATTTACTTTGTATCACCAGTGTCTAGAATGTTTCATGTTATATAGAATACAGTCCAATGTTGTTTCACATTTGTCATTTGAGGTATTTGTCCTCTTAGTATGGAAACTGGAATATAAGATATTTTTATTTAAATAAACATCATAGATTTTTTCATAAACATTTCATACTTTCATCATAGTAGAAATAGAAAAGAAGACACAAGAAGAATAGGAGGAAAGCCCAGCATAAATATGACTGGAAATACCTATTCATGGGTTGCATCCTTAAGACATCAATTTAATGACATGCTTGTGATAAAGCCTTCACTATTTTTTCACATTTCCCTTATAAATGAAAGGCATTGCATTTTCAAAGAGCATAGTGTTTTGTTATAAAGAATTAGATACCTGGTTTATTTAATTATAAAATGTGAAGATGAAGACATGTCTGATCCATCACTCTTCCTACTGTTCCTGGAGGGAAGGTCACTCCTGTGTATCTAGTCCATTATGTTTGTTCAAACTGTCATACACAATTCCCACACTCCCTAACTTGGGGAAACAGGAAACGATGTGTGAAATAATGCCTATATTTTGGTGTTCCAACATAAAATATAGATGACTTAAGTTTGATTGTAGTTGTAAAATGTTATATTAAAATATATATCAGTATTTTTACCGGGTAGCTTGTTGTTTGTCAGTGCCTTTGGACTATTAGTTTGCTTTATGTTCACTAGAACATGAATATTATAGAAGTACTAAAACAGTGCCTTACATTGTTGTTTAAATGGTTAGTGAAGAAATAAAGAGTGAAAAAAGTAGAGAAAGACAGGAAGGAAAGAAGAAAGGGGAGAAATCATTTGACAACTCAAGCATATCCAAAGCAGTGTTTACCCTTCAGTCAGACATATTTCAAGTTACTGAACTATGTATCTCTTTCCCATTAAAAAGTGATGAGAGTTTGTATTATTTTGAGCACAAGAAGAGACCTTGTATCTCCAGTGCTTAGAATAAATCTATTTTAAATTGAGTTATTTATTTGCCTTAAGAAATAATTTATGTTTTTGTATTTATCCAGAGAATAACCATTATTCCCAATAGGACTGTTCAATTATAACATAGAAGCTTTACCTTATAAATATTTTCCTAATAAATCTGACACATTAAGCCACAAGTTCTATTTGTGGGATGAAGTCTAAGGACAAATAATGCATTTGTGAGTTAATTATGTGTTTTTTCAAACTTTACAGTACAGAAAGTATCACCTAGAGATACTGTTAAAATGCAAGTTTCTGGTGTACCCCCAAGATTCTGATTCAGCAAGTTTGGAAAGTGAGACTAAGAATTTTCATTATAATAGGCTCCAGCTGATGCTGATTCTCATGGTTCCATGTGGCACACACAGAAACAATGGATTAGGCTTTATAATTTATCTTCAATTTACAAATGAGTTTTTAATATTGAGTTCTAAGTGTTTGAATTATCCAACCAGTCACAAGTTGGTTAGTTTTTGAAGAAATTTATCTAGGAACTTAGTGAAAGTTCTTTTCTTTTTTCCTCCTTTCTGTCTAGTGCAATCATGGCAATACATGGCTTCCATGGAGAAATATGAGCCTTTAAAAACTCCAGGGAAGTAAATTGAATTTCCAAACATAAGTATCCAGTTATTATGTATGATGTATATTATTATACTAAACACCTAGAACTATTTGACTTTAACTATAAGAATTATTTTATTACATACTAGTAATCAAGAGATTACAGAATTTTGGCAAATATTTACATCTACTTTATGACTTAAAATATTTTAAAGTCAATGGAAGAAATTAAAAGTACAATATTAATCATAATTTTTAGAAAAACTTATAAAAATATATAATGACTCCAATTATGTCAGTTATCACTATTTCTTAGAAAATAGATTAAATTTTGGAAGGATTTTAATATCATTTTTGTCAGAGTTGTTTCATCTTGGACATATATTTGTTGAAATAAAATAGAATGTTGTCCACGCAAACATATTACATATGTAATCATTTCTATGCTTGGTTACTGTAGCATGATTTTTTCCCTCATTTTATTCTCACATGTCTAAACTAATTAACATGTGATGGATCCATTTGTTTCCTGGTTACTTTGTCATCACAATCTTTATTGTAAAATCATCCAGTCGAGTTCATTCTCACTATTTTGTAGGAATTTCTTTTTGGCATTTGTTGCTCAGCAACCACAGGGCATGTTTATAGAGGTAAGATGAGTCTAGTGATGTTTGTTTACTTTTCAAAAATATCAATGCTGACACTTAAAAAGAAAAAACACAGAAACAAGCCATAAAACAGTTCTAGCTTTAGAAATGTAGCCTGGGATAGCTCCTTGAAATGTATTCATTTATATAAATGCTTCTGAGGGAAATCTTCTGTCCTGTTATGATTAAAAGGCTGGGCTCTGGGGAGGGGAACCCCTGTGTTTGTATCCTGCTCCTGACAACTACTATTTTCATGATCTTGAAGTATTACTAATCCTTTCCAAAGTTCAATTTCCTCATCAACACAATAGGTATTATGATAATACTTGTACTCTTTGTAGTACTAGTAAGACTATTGAAGGACATATTACATAAAAGCCCTTGATCAGAAAGGTGCATAATCGTGACTGCAGGCTTCACTGCCACTAAAGCTATCTCTGGACGTTGTTTAAGTTTCCCTCCTAAAATGCAATCTTTGGACAAGCTACACAAGCACTATCTGGGATCTTGTAAGAAATGTAGAGTCTAAACCACATCTAAACCAAATGAATCAGAATCTGCGTTTTAATAATATCCCTATGTGATGTATAACGTAATAACTTTCAGAATTTTTGTCTTAATTCTAGTAAGTAGTTAGGATAAAAACCACTAATATAATGTCAAAAAACAGAGAGGAAAATGTTATCAATTTCCTTTTTAGAAAGTCAATGCAATTTTACCTATTTATATGCAACACAAAATGTTTTAAATTTCTAGGAAAAAAATGGTATTTCTAGAAAAATTAGTTTTTCACTATAAAACAAAGTAAACTTTAAAAAATATGAACACTGTCCTGTGATTTACTTTTGAAATCATCCATAGGATTTCAATTATTTTTCAATGCAGTTGTAGGTTTTATTCCAATCGAATTCTCTGTTGCCAATAATGATATGGGAAAGAGCCTGAACTTGATACTCTAGGCATTAGGTAATAGCTGATGATATTTGATCAAGAAAGGATATATTTAAAATATTATTTTGGAACAACAAATGTGAATGAAATATGTAGGCTATATTTAAGGAAGGGACTGAAATAGGTTATAGAAAGACTTAAAAGAAACATGGAAAAGGAGTCTTTGTAAAGGAAATTAATAGATTTAATGATGGATTGAATGAAAGACCAAATCAGCAAAGGAGGAAAAACAAATGGGTGCAACGTGTCAGGATTCGATTAGCAAATAAGAGTGCAGAGCATTTTTCTGCCTTTCAAAAAAGAGATAATGGTTGGCTGTTATTTATGTATTTGTTTCTTTTTTTTCCCAAGGAATTTTGTCGTGTATATGGTTTGTTTGGTTTATGTGGAAGATGTTGAAGAAATTAATTTGGCTATGCTAACTTAGAACAAGAATTTTAAAAGCATTTAAACTAAAAATCCAAGCTGGTTAAATTGTAGAACTGAACTACTACATTCCTCAAGAGTTTTTTGTCTATTTTTGGAGATAGGTGGATAAAATACAGGGAATCTTCAGACAGAATATCATGTAACTAAAATGTCAACTGATTGGACGAGTATTTAGGCATATGATAACAGCAGGAATATGGCAGTTAGGATAAGAGAGCATGCAGTGAGATAATAAGGAAGGCCATTGGAAATCTACCAAAATAATTTAGGATGAGAGGTCAGAGCTTGAACTAAAAAAAGTGGTAGAGATAGCAGCAATTTATTGTAAATTCTGATCAGATATTTTAGAATAATTTTTGCAGTTTTTTAATATGCATAACTTTAACCAAGGCACAAGTTTTAGGCAAGAACCTTTTATCACGTCAAATACAAACATACATTGAGAGACTTTATTCAGTTGAAAGACCATTAAAATAGGAAGAAAGATCTGATCTCAAAAATGTGCGAGTATGTCAAAATCAAACATAAAAAGAATTTTCTCTTATAGAATAGAGAGAGGTGGTAAGCAAAGATTAGTAGAGCCTTTAAGGAGAATTTGGGGAAGCAAGGGAAAAAAACCAGTGGAATCTGATAAGAAAAGTATCCCACTGTGGTCTGCCGAGTCTCAGGATAAGCTAATTAAGGGGCACATTCCAATCTTTAGTGCTTGCTCAGGCTTGAAGAGCAGCAGAATTTCGAGGCCTGTAGGAAGGAAAGAAGCCAGAATAATATTTGGTCAAGACAAAGCAAAGAGTAAGAAATGGGTAGTTATGAATACTTAATCAATCACTCAGGAATATGTCTGGAAAGCATAAGAGAATTAGGAATGATTAATCAGTAGTTCAAATTTAATAAAAAGAATGTTTTTCCTTTACCTACGGGGTTGGAAGTAAGTCCTATTTGTTCTGTACTCATGATGATTCTTCCTATTCAAAAAAATCCCTTTCCCCATCTAACAACATATTAAGCCACATACAATATTTCCAGTGTCTAAAAAGCATGTTTTATAGAATAATTTGAAAGAAAAGTGAATTATTTGTATTGTCTTTTTTATTATACTTATCTTAAAAGTAACTTGACAAAAATTGTCAAAAATAAATTCCAATCTTCAATCTACAAAGAGTTGCATGTAGCATAGAGAGTTATTTTTGGGACCAAAATCATTTTTAAGGGAGAAGAAGGAGAGTGCTAGGGTTCAGATTCTGAACCCAGAGTCAGAAAGTGAGAGGAAGCCACTGAATGCTGTGAGATGGGTGTAGTGTATGCTTTCTCCTGAATTGCCTTTTGACACGCCACCTTACACACTTAGCATGTAAAAGACTGGAAATCTGACAAATTAAATTAGATGTCTTGTTGTCTCAGTGTCCATTAACTGCACCATCCTCTTGCTCAGATTAAAAGCCTAAGGATATAATTGATTGCTTTTCCATCTCTGGCAGAGAGCTGTTCACTTTTTTAAAAACTTTTTTTTTATTTCCATAGGTTTTGAGGGAACAGGTGGTATTTGCTTACATGAGTAAAATATTTAGTGGTGATTTGTGAGATTTTGGTGCACCCATCAACCAAGCAACATTCACTGAACCCAACGTATACTCCTTTATCCCTCACACCCTTCCCACCCTTTCCCCCAAGTCCTCAAAGTCCATTGTAACATTCTTATGCCTTTTCATCCTCATGGCGTAGCTTCCACTTATGAGTGAGAAAATACGATGTTTAGTTTTCTATTTGTGCATTACTTTGCTTAGAATAATAGTCTCCAGTTCCAACCAGGTTGCTGTAAATGCCATTGATTCGCTCCGCTTTATGGCTGAGTAGTATTCCATCATATATATATATATGTATATATATGTATATATGTATATTTATGTATATATATATGTATATATATGTATAGTATTCCATCATATATATCCATTCGTTGATGGACATCTGGACTGGTTCCATATTTTTGCAGTTGCAAATTGTGCTGCTATAAACACGCATGTGCAAGTATCTTTTTCGTCTAATGGTTTCTTTTCCTCTGGTTAGATATCTAGTAGTGGGATTGCTAGGTCAAATAGTAGTTCTACTTTTAGTTCTTTAAGGAATCTTCACGCTATTTCCCTTAGTGGTTGTACTAGTTCGCATTCCCACCAGCAGTGTAGAACGGTTCTCTGTTCACCACATCCATGCCAACATCAACTATTTTTCGATTTTTTATTATGGTCATTCTTGCAGGAGTAAGGTGGTATTGCATTGTGATTTTGATTAACATTTCCCTGATAATTAATGACGTTCAGAATTTTTCATATGTTTGTTAGCCATTTGTATCTCTTCTTTTGAGAATTGTCTATTTATGTCCTTAGCCCACTTTTTGATGACATTGTTTGTATTTTTCTTGCTAATTGGTTTGAGTTCATTGTAGATTCTGGATATTAGTCCTTTGTTGCATGTATAGATTGTGAAGATATTCTCCCACTCTGTGGGTTGTCTGTTTACTCTGCTGACTGTTCCTTTTGCTGTGCAGAAACTCTTCAGTTTAATTAAGTCCCACCTATTAACTTGCTTTTGTTGCATTTGCTTTGAAGTTCCTAGTCATGAACTCTTTGCCTAAGCCAATGTGTAGAAGGGTTTTTCTGATGCTATCTTCTAGAATTCAGATCCTAGATTTTAAGTTCTTGATCCATCTTGAGTTGACTTTTGTATAAGGTGAGAGATGAGGATCCAGTTTCATTCTCCTACATGTGGCTTGTCAATTAACCCAGCACCATTTGTTGAATAAGGTGTCCTTTTCCCACTTTATGTTTTTGTTTGCTTTGTCAAAATTCAGTTAGATGTTAAGTATTTGGCTTTATTTCTGGATTCTCTATTCCGTTCCATTGGTCTAACTGCCTATTTTTATACCACGATCATGCTGTTTGGGCGACTATGGCCTTACAGAATAGTTTAAAGTCAGGCAATGTGATGATGTGATGCCTCCAGATTTTTTTTTCTTAGTATTGCTTTGGCTATGCAGGCTCTTTTTTGTTTCCATATGAATTTTAGAATTGTTTGTTCTAGTTCTGTGAAGAATTATGGTGGTATTTTGATGGGAATTGCATTGAATTTGTAGGTTGATTTTGGCAGTATGGTCATTTCCACAATATTGATTCTACCCATCCATGAGCACGGGATGTGTTTCTATTTGTTTGTCTCGTCTGTGATTTCCTTCACCAGTGTTTTGTAGTTTTTCATTGTAGAGATCTTTCACCTCCTTGGTTAGGTATATTCCTAAGTATTTAATTTTTCTTGCAGCTATTGTTAAAGGGGTTGTATTCTGGATGTGATTTTCAGCTTGATCACTGTTGGTGTATAGCAGAGCTACTGATTTGTGTATGTTAATTTTGTATCTGGTAACTTCGCTGAATTCATTTATCAGTTCTAGGAGCTTTTTGGAGGAGTCTTGGGGTTTTCTAGGTATACAATTATACTATTTGCAAGCAGTGACAGTTTGACTTCCTCTTTAATGATTTGGATGTCCTTTATTTCTTTCTTTTGTCTGATTGCCCTAGCTAGGACTTCCAGTACCATGTTGAATAGAAGTGGTGAGAGTAGGCGTCCTTGTCTTGTTCCACTTCTCAGAGGAAATGCTTTCAACTTATCCCTGTTCAGTGTTATGTTGGTTGTGGGTTTGTCATAGATGGCTTTTATTACATTGAGGTATGTCCCTTGTGTGCTGACTTTGCTGAGAGTTTTAATCATAAATTGATGCTTGATTTTGTCAAAGGCTTTTTCTGTGTCTATTGAGATATCATGTGATTTTTGTTTTTAATTCTGTTTATGTGGTGTAGCACATCTATTAACTTCCATATTTTAAACCACCCCTGCAGCCCTTGTATAAAACCCTCTTGATCATAGTGCATCATCTTTCTGATATGCTATTGGATTCAGTTAGCTAGTATTTTGTTAAGGATTTTTGCATCTGTGTTCTTCGGGGATATTGGTCTGTAGTTTTTGCTGTTTTTGCTATATCCTTTCCTGGCTTTGGTATTAGGATGATACTGGCTTCATAGAATGATTTAGGGAGGAGTCTCTCTTTTCTGTCTTGTGTAATTGTGTCAATGGAATTGGTACCAATTCTTTGAATGTCTGATAGATTCAGCTATGAATCCATCAAGTCCTGGACTTTTTTTTTGTTGAAATTTTTTATTACCATCTCGCTGTTTGTTATTGGTCTGTTTAGGGTTTCTAATTCTTCCTTATTTAAGCTAGTAGGGTTGCATATTTCCAGGAATTTATCCATCTCCTCTAGTTTTTCTAGTTTATGTGCATGAAGGTGTTCAGAGTAGCCTTGAATGTTCTTTTGTATTTCTGTGGTGTCGGTTGTAATATCTCCCATTTAATTTCTAATTGAGCTTATTTGGATTTTCCCTCTTCTTTTCAAGTTTAAACTTGCTAATGGTCTATCAATTTTATTTATCTTTTCAAAGAACCAGATTTTTGTTTCATTTATCTTTTTTTTTCTCCTTGTCTCCATTTCACTTAGTTCTTCTCCCATCTTGGTTATTTCTTTTCTTCTGCTGGGGTTGGATTTGGTTTGTTCTCTTTTCTCTAGTTCCTTGAGGTGTCTATTTGTGCTCTTTCAAAACTTTTTGTTCTAGGCATTTAGGGCTATGAACTTTCCTCTTAGCACCACGTTTGCTGCATCCCAGAGGTTTTGATAGATTGTGTCTTTATTATCATTTGGTTCAAAACATTTTACATTTTCATCTTGATTTCATTGTTTACCCAGTGATCATTCAGGAGCAAGTTTTCTAATTTCAATGTATTTGCATGGTCTTGAAGTTTCCTTTGGGAGTTGATTTCCAATTTTATTTTGCTTTGGTCAGAGTGAGTACTTAATATAATTTCAATTTTCTTAAATTTATTGAGACTTGTTTTGTGGCTGATCATATAGTCTATGTTGGAGAATGTTCTATGCACTGATGAATAGAATGTATATTCTGCAGTTGTTGGTTAGAATGTTCTCTAAATATCTGTTGAGTCCATTTGTTCTAGGGCATAGTTTAAATCCATTGTTTCTTTGTTCGCTTTCTGTCTTGATGACTACCTGTCTAGTGCCATGAATGGAGTATTGAAGCCCCCACTATTACAGTATTGCTGTCTCCCACTATTACAGTATTGCTGTCTATGACATTTCTTACATCTAATAGTAATTGTTTTATAAATTTGGGAGCTCCAGTTTTAGGTACATATATATTTAGGACTGTGATACTTTCCAGTGACAAGGCATTTTATCATTATAAAATGTACCTCTTTGTCTTTTTTAACTGCTGTTGCTTTAAACTTTGTTTTGTCTGATATAAGAATAGCTACTCTTGGTTGCTTTTGGTGTCCATTTGCATGGAATGTCTTTTGCCACCCCTTTATCTTATGTTTTTGTGAGTCCTTATGTGGTAGGTGAGTCTCTTGAAGGCAGCAGATACTTGGTTGGTGAATTCTTATTCATTCTGCAATGCTGTTTTGTTTTGTTTTGTTTTGTTTTGTTTTTTTTTTTGAGAGAGAGTCTTGCACTGTCACCAGGCTGGAGTGCAGTGGCATGATCTCAGCTCACTGCAACCTCCGCCTCCCGGGTTCAAGTGATTCCTCTACCTCAGCCCCCTGAGCAGCTGAGACTACAGGCACATGCCACCATGCCAGGCTAATTTTTTGTATTTAGTAGAAACAGGGTTTTACCATTTTGGCCAGGATGGTCTCGATCTCTTGACCTCACGATCCACCCACCTCAGCCTCCCAAAGTTCTGGGATTACAGCTATGAGACACCATCCCTGGTCAATTCTGTATCCTTTAAGTGGAACATTTAGACAATTTACATTCAACGTTAGTATTGAGATGTGAGGTACTATTCCATTCATTGTGCTATTTGTTGCCTGAAAATCTTGTTTTTTTCTGTTGCTTTTCTGTTTTTGTTTTGTTTTATATGTCCTGTGAGAGTAATCCTTTAAAGTGGTTCTCTTTTGATGTGTTTCCATTATTTGTTTCAAGGTGTATAGCTCCTTTTAGGTGTTCTTGTAGTACTGGCTTCGTAGTGGTTTGTTTGTCTGAAAAAGACTGTATTTGTCCTTCATTTATGAAGCTTAGTTCACTGAATACAAAATTCTTGGCTGATAGTTGTTTTGTTTAAGGAAACTGAAGATAGAGCCCCAATCCCTTCTAGCATGCAGGGTTTCTGCTGAGGAGTCAGCTGTTAATATGATATGTTTTTCCTTGTAGGTTACCTCGTGCTTTTACCACACAGCTTTTAACATTCTTTCCTTCATCATGACTTTAGATAACCTGATGACTATGTGCCTAGGCTATGATCTTTTTGCAATGAATTTCCCAGGTGCTCTTTGAGCTTCTTGTATTTGGATGTCTAGATCTCCAGCAAGACCAGGGAAGTTTTCCTTGATTGTTTCCCCAAAAACATTTTCCAAACTTTTGGATATCTCTTCTTCCTCATGAATGCCAATTATTCTTAGGTTTGGTCATTTAACATAATCCCAAGCTTCTTGGAGGCTTTATTCATTTTTTAAAATTCTTTTTCTTTGTCTTTGTTGGATGGGGTTATTTCAAAAACCTTGTCTTTGAGCTCTGAAGTTTTTTCTTCTGCTTGTTCGATTCTATTGCTGAGATTTTGCAATACAGTCTACATTTCTCCAAGCATGTCCTTTATATCTTAAAGTTGTGATTGTTTTCTATTTATGCTATTTATTTCACTGAAGATTTCTCCCTTCATATATTGTATCATTATTTTTTATTTGCTTAAGGTGAACTTCACCTTTCTCTGGTGCCTCCTTGATTAGCTTAATAATCGACTTTTTGAATTATTTTTTCTGGCAATTCAGGACTTTTTTGATTTGGAACCATTGCTGGTGAGCTAGTGTGATTTTGGGGGGAGTGTTAAAGAACTTTGTTTTGTCGTATTACCAGAATTGTTTTTCTGGTTCCTTCTCATTTGGGTAGGTTATGTCAGAGGGAAGATCTGGGGCTCAAGGCTGCTGTTCCAATTCTTTTATCTCATAGGGTGCTTCCTTGATGTAGTACTCTTCCCTCTTTGAAGCAATTGTGAATGGGAGTTCACTCGTGATTTGGCTCTCTGTTTGTCTGTTGTTGGTGTATAAGAATGCTTGTGTTTTTTGTACATTGATTTTGTATCCTGAGACTTTGCTGAAGTTGCTTATCAGCTTAAGGAGATTTTGGGCTGAGACAAGGGGGTTTTCTAGACATACAATCATGTCGTCTGCAAACAGGGACAATTTGGCTTCCTCTTTTCCTAATTGAATACCCTTTATTTCCTTCTCTTCCCTAATTGCCCTGGCCAGAACTTCCAACACTATGTTGAATAGGAGTGGTGAAAGAGGGCATCCCTGTCTTGTGCCACTTTTCAAAGGGAATGCTTCCAGTTTTTGCCCATTCAGTATGATGTTGGCTGTGGGTTTCTCATAGACAGCTCTTATTATTTTGAGATACGTCCCATCAATACCTAATTTATTGAGAGTTTTTAGCATGAAGCGTTGTTGAATTTTGTCAAAGGCCTTTTCTGCATCTATTGAGATAATCATGTGGTTTTTGTCATGGGTTCTGTTCATATGCTGGATTACATTTATTGATTTGTGTATATTGAACCAGCCTTGCATCCCAGGGATGAAGCCCACTTGATCATGGTGGATAAGCTTTTTGATGTGCTGCTAGATTCGGTTTGCCAGTATTTTATTGAGGATTTTTGCATCAATGTTCATCAAGGATATTGGTCTAAAATTCTCTTTTTTGGTTGTGTCTCTGCCCGGCTTTGGTATCAGGATGATGCTGGCCTCATAAAATGAGTTAGGGAGGATTCCCTCTTTTTCTATTGATTGGAATAGTTTCAGAAGGAATGGTAGCAGTTCCTCCTTGTACCTCTGGTAGAATTTGGCTGTGAATCCATCTGGTCCTGGACTCTTTTTGGTTGGTAAGCTATTGATTATTGCCACAATTTCAGATCCTGTTATTGGTCTATTCAGAGATTCAATTTCTTCCTGGTTTAGTTTTGGGAGAGTGTATGTGTCGAGGAATTTATCCATTTCTTCTTGATTTTCTAGTTTATTTGCGTAGAGGTGTTTGTAGTATTCTCTGATGGTAGTTTGTATTTCTGTGGGATCAGTGGTGATATCCCCTTTATCATTTTTTATTGTGTCTATTTGATTCTTCTCTCTTTTTTTCTTTATTAGTCTTGCTAGCGGTCTATCAATTTTGTTGATCCTTTCAAAAAACCAGCTCCTGGATTTATTGATTTTTTGAAGGGGTTTTTGTGTCTCTATTTCCTTCAGTTCTGCTCTGATTTTAGTTATTTCTTGCCTTCTGCTAGCTTTTGAATGTGTTTGCTCTTGCTTTTCTAGTTCTTTTAATTGTGATGTTAGGGTGTCAATTTTGGATCTTTCCTGCTTTCTCTTGTGGGCATTTAGTGCTATAAATTTCCCTCTACACACTGCTTTGAATGTGTCCCAGAGATTCTGGTATGTTGTGTCTTTGTTCTCGCTGGTTTCAAAGAACATCTTTATTTCTGCCTTCATTTCGTTATGTACCCAGTAGTCATTCAGGAGCAGGTTGTTCAGTTTCCATGTAGTTGAGCGGTTTTGAGTGAGATTCTTAATCCTGAGTTCTAGTTTGATTGCACTGTGGTCTGAGAGATAGTTTATTATAATTTCTGTTCTTTTACATTTGCTGAGGGAGCTTTACTTCCAAGTATGTGGTCAATTTTGGAATAGGTGTGGTGTGGTGCTGAAAAAAATGTACATTCTGTTGATTTGGGGTGGAGAGTTCTGTAGATGTCTATTAGGTCCGCTTGGTGCAGAGCTGAGTTCAATTCCTGGGTATCCTTGTTGACTTTCTGTCTGGTTGATCTGTCTAATGTTGACAGTGGGGTGTTAAAGTCTCCCATTATTAATGTGTGGGAGTCTAAGTCTCTTTGTAGGTCACTCAGGACTTGCTTTATGAATCTGGGTGCTCCTGTTTTGGGTGCATATATATTTAGGATAGTTAGCTCTTCTTGTTGAATTGATCCCTTTGCCATTAAGTAATGGCCTTCTTTGTCTCTTTTGGTCTTTGTTGGTATAAAGTCTGTTTTATCAGAGACTAGGATTGCAACCCCTGCCTTTTTTTGTTTTCCATTGGCTTGGTAGATCTTCCTCCATCCTTTTATTTTGAACCTATGTGTGTCTCTGCACGTGAGATGGGTTTCCTGAATACAGCACACTGATGGGTCTTGACTCTTTATCCAATTTGCCAGTCTGTGTCTTTCAATTGGAGCATTTAGTCCATTGACATTTAAAGTTAATATTGTTATGTGTGAATTTGATCCTGTCATTATGATGTTAACTGGTGATTTTGCTCGTTAGTTGATGCAGTTTCTTCCTAGTCTTGATGGTCTTTACATTTTGGCATGATTTTGCAGCAGCTAGTACCAGTTGTTCCTTTCCATGTTTAGCGCTTCCTTCAGGAGCTCTTTTAGGGCAGGCCTGGTGGTGACAAAATCTCTCAGCATTTGCTTGTCTGTAAAGTATTTTATTTCTCCTTCACTTATGAAGCTTAGTTTGGCTGGATATGAAATTCGGGATTGAAAATTCTTTTCTTTAAGAATGTTGAATATTGGCCCCCACTCTCTTCTGGCTTGCAGAGTTTCTGCTGAGACATCTGCTGTTAGTCTGATGGGCTTCCCTTTGAGGGTAACCCGACCTTTCTCTCTGGCTGCCCTTAACATTTTTTCCTTCATTTCAACTTTGGTGAATCTGACAATTATATGTCTTGGTGTTGCTCTTCTTGAGGAGTATCTTTGTGGTGTTCTCTGTATTTCCTGAATCTGAATGTTGGCCTGCCTTGCTAGACTGGGAAAGTTCTCGTGGATAATATCCTGCAGAGTGTTTTCCAACTTGGTTCCATTCTCCTCGTCACTTTCAGGTACACCAATCAGATGTAGATTTGGTCTTTTCACATAGTGCCATATTTCTTGGAGGCTTTATTCATTTCTTTTTATTCTTTTTTCTCTAAACTTCCCTTCTCGCTTCATTTCATTCATTTCATCTTCCATTGCTGATACCCTTTCTTCCAGTTGATCACATCGGCTCCTGAGGCTTCTGCATTCTTCACGTAGTTCTCAAGCCTTGGTTTTCAGCTCCATCAGCTCCTTTAAGCACTTCTCTGTATTGGTTATTCTAGTCATACATTCTTCTAAATTTTTTTCAAAGTTTTCAACTTCTTTGCCTTTGGTTTGAATGTCCTCCTGTAGCTCGGAGTAATTTGATCGTCTGAAGTCTTCTTCTCTCAGCTCGTCAAAGTCATTCTCCGTACAGCTTTGTTCCGTTGCTGTTGAGGAACTGCGTTCCTTTGGAGGAGGAGAGGCACTCTGCTTTTTAGAGTTTCCAGTTTTTCTGTTCTGTTTTTTCCCCATCTTTGTGGTTTTATCTACTTTTGGTCTTTGATGATGGTGATGTACAGATGGGTTTTTGGTGTGGATGTCCTTTCTGTTTATTAGTTTTCCTTCTAACAGACAGGACCCTCAGCTGCAGTTCTGTTGGAGTACCCAGCCGTGTGAGGTGTCAGTGTGCCCCTGCTGGGGGGTGCCTCCCAGTTAGGCTCCTCGGGGGTCAGGGGTCAGGGACCCACTTGAGGAGGCAGTCTGCCCATTCTCAGATCTCCAACTGCATGCTGGGAGAACCAGTGCTTTCTTCAAAGCTGTCAGACAGGGACATTTAAGTCTGCAGAGGTTACTGCTGTCTTTTTGTTTGTCTGTGCCCTGCCCCCAGAGGTGGAGCCTACAGATGCAGGCAGGCCTCCTTGAGCTGTGTTGGGCTCCACCCAGTTCGAGCTTTCTGGCTGCTTTGTTTACCTAAGCGAGCCTGGGCAATGGCGGGCGCCCCTCCCCCAGCCTCACTGCCGCCTTGCAGTTTGATCTCAGACTGCTGTGCTAGCAATCAGTGAGACTCCGTGGGCATAGGACCCTCTGAGCCAGGTGTGGGATATAATCTCTTTGTGCGCCGTTTTTTAAGCCCATCGGAAAAGCGCAGTATTTATGTGGAAGTGACCCGATTTTCCAGGTGCCATCTGTCACCACTTTCTTTGACTAGGAAAGGGAACTCCCTGACCCCTTGCGCTTCCTGAGTGAGGCAATGCCTCGCCCTGCTTCGGCTCATGCATGGTGCGTGCACCCACTGACCTGCACCCACTGTCTGCCACTCCCCAGTGAGATGAACCCGGTACCTCAGATGGAAATGCAGAAGTCACCCGTCTTCTGCATCGCTCACGCTGGGAGATGTAAACCGGAGCTGTTCCTATTTGGCCATCTTGGCTCCTCCCCCCAAACAATTACTTTAAATGGCAGCAAGAATGTTTCTCACTTACTGTTCTGGAGGGATAGGTGCTTTCCCACAAGGTATTTATGTAACCATTATACAATTTTGTTGAAGCATGCATTATTATAGCCAAAGAAATCAACATTGAACAGGATTAAGTTTGTTACCCAATGTCATACATTTAGTAAATTAGTAGGGAAAAAATACCTGTATTTAGGTTTATTAGATTTCAAAAGCCAAGCCGAGTATCATATTCCGTATATGTAGCCACACTACTCACTGCCTCCATTAGTTTCCTATTGATGCTGTAACAAATTACCAGAAACAACAAAATTGTTTTATCTCACAATTCTGGAGGTCAGAAGTTCAAAATGTGTCCTGTTAGAATAAGATCAAAGTGTTAGCAGGACTGAATTCTTTTCTGGAGATGCCAAGGAAAATCCAGATATTCTCAACTTTTCTAGCTTCTAGAGGCTGCTTGTATTCTTTGGCTTATAGGCCCCTTCCTCCATGTTCAAAGCCAGCAATGGCCACTTGAGTCTTCTTATATTACATCACTCTGAACCCTCTGTCTTTCTCTTCCACGTATGAGGACTCTTGTGATTACATTGGGTCCACCTGAATAATCTCAACGTTGGTGATAAGCAAATTTAATTCCATCTGCAATCTTAATTTCCCTTTGCCATGTAAGCTAATGTATTCCAAGATTCCTGGAATGAGAATGAGGACATATTTGAGGGGTGGGAAGGTATTGGTTTGCCTACAACACACCCTTAGGATGTAATCAGCTTCTGACTATTAGACGTTAGAAATACCCTGCACTCAAAGGTAAGGCCTGAAAAAAACAATAAATTGATAATTCAAGTAGACATAAAATGACTATTTTCAAGAACTGGTAAAGAATTGGTACATTCCGTGCACAGAAAATTTATCTATGCATTAAGGACACTTTTGGTTCTAATATTTTATGATTCCTTAAATATTACTTTGAATGAGAACAAAAGACATTGAAAGAAAGTAAATACAAGCTGAGGTCAAAAGAACTGTTCAATATTCATGATGCTTATGCAATACTTCAATTTGGTATCTAATTTTCTGAAGTATAATTAAACATGAAATTACAGTCATAAGAAAGATAGCTGTATATAAAGATAAATTATACATTTCCACAATGAATGATCATCAAAGTTTCCTCTTCTCAACTATATGTTATATAATCCTAATCATTATCATTAATATTGAGTACCTTAATTGAAGACAAGTTTGACTCAGCAGTAATTCACTTTATAGGTGACCAATTATTCTGTCTGTCACAGACAGCATTAGAATATGAAAATGGAAGAAATAAAATTTCAGTTTCCAAATATTATGGAATCTAAAAAATGATTTTGTGAACTTTTAAGTTGGAGCCAAATCCATTACTTTCAGAAATTCTACGTAAGCTGTAAAAAATCCATTTTCTATATAATAGCTCCTTAAAGAAGAGAGCAAAGCAGTTAAAAAATTCCAATTGAATATCCTGCTGACATTAATGATATGGCAAACAGCCTGAACTTGATCCTCTAGGCATTCGATAATAGTTAATAAAATTTAATCAAGAAAGGATATATTGAAAATATTATTTGGGAAAATAAATATGAATAAAGTGTGTAGGCTATATTTAAGTGGGAGAAAAATAGAATAATAATTGAAAAACTAGCCATATGTAGAAAGCTGAAACTGGATCCCTTCCTTACAACTTAAGCTGAAACTGGATCCCTTCCTTACAACTTCTACAAAAATTAATTCAAGATGGATTAAAGACTTAAATGTTAGACCTAAAACCATAAAAACCCTAGAAGAAAACCTAGGCAATACCATTCAGGACACAGGCATGGGGAAGGACTTCATGTCTAAAACACCAAAAGCAATGGCAACAAAAGCCAAAATTGACAAATAGGATCTAATTAAACTAAAGAACTTCTGCACAGCAAAAGAAACTACCATCAGAGTGAACAGGCAACCTACAAAATGGGAGAAAATTTTCGCCACCTACTCATCTGACAAAGGGCTAATATCCAGAATCTACAATGAACTCAAACAAATTTACAAGAAAAAAACAAACAGCCCCATCAACAAGTGGGTAAAAGATATGAACAGACACTTCTCAAAAGAAGACATTTATGCAGCCAAAAGACACATGAAAAAATGCTCATCATCACTGGCCATCAGAGAAATGCAAATCAAAACCACAATGAGATACCATCTCACACCAGTTAGAATGGCAATCATTAAAAAGTCAGGAAACAACAGGTGCTGGAGAGGATGTGGAGAAATAGGAACACTTTTACACTGTTGGTGGGACTGTAAACTAGTTCAACCATTGTGGAAGTCAGTGTGGCGATTCCTCAGGGATCTAGAACTAGAAATACCATTTGACCCAGCCATCACATGACTGGATATATATCCAAAGGATTATAAATCATGCTGCTATAAAGACACATGCACACATATGTTTATTGTGGCACCATTCACAATAGCAAAGACTTGGAACCAAGCCAAATGTCCAACAATGATAGACTGGATTAAGAAAATGTGGCACGTATACACCATGGAATACTATGAAGCCATAAAAAATGATGAGTTCATGTCCTTTGTAGGGACATGGATGAAATTGGAAACCATCATTCTCAGCAAACTATCGCAAGGACAGAAAACCAAACACCACATGTTCTCACTCATAGGTGGGAATTGAACAATGAGAACACATGGACACAGGAAGGGGAACATCACACACCAGGGCCTGTTGTGGGGTGAGGGGAGGGGGGAGGGATATCATTAGGAGATATACCTAATGTTAAACGACGAGTTAATGGGTGCAGCACACCAACATGGCACATGTATACATATGTAACAAACCTGCAGGTTGTGCACATGTACCCTAAAACTTAAAGTATAATAAATAAAAAAAGTAAAACTTAAGAGAAATTTAAATTTAACTTGCAGATGCTTAATGATAATTTGTATTTATTCTGACACCCATTTAACAAGTATTTAATTATCTATTCTATGTAAAATATTATTTTGAGCCCTGCGTTATATTAACTTAAATGATCTATAAATAGTTATTCTGTGCCAGGAAGAATATAAATGTTTTTACAGGAGTTGGCTGAATTATCCAAAAGACAAAACAAAATACAAGAAAGAGTATGACTTAGTGTATTTTCTCTGTTTCAAGATACCCGCCTTCCTAATGGATGTTTGATTGGATAGTTGCAATTTCAAACCATTAAGCTGTTTGCAGTGCTGTTTCTGAGTAACAGAAATCCATTATTTTGATAAATGCAAAATATTTTCAGCATATTCTTCTGTGAAAATTCTTTATTTCTATTTTTTATATTTACAGATATAACTATTCCTTTCATCATTTCTTTTACCCAGTTTGAGTACCACTGACTGAAACACTTTATGTCAGAGCTCCTTTAGAGTCAGTTATTCCTAATTTAGTCTGTCATATTTTACATTTCCCAAGCATATAATCTTTAAGCTCAGCTAGATTATTGGGCCTATTTATCTAACATTTGATTGGCTCCTGGTTTCCTTTGGTACAGCAAATTTTGTCAGCCTCGAAGGTCCTCACATTTTTTATCTCAGTTTCTACAAGACAGAAAATAACCCCCATTGTCACTGCACAGTAATGGGAACACAGAACTCAAACCATCTAATGCCCTCCATCAGTTTGTCAGCAATTACTTTCATTCAACAAATACTTATTGAGTGATGCTAGCTGTCAGGCCTCTTCTGGATGCTAGAGACACAGCAAGGTATAAGACAGATGAAAGCCTGCCTATGGGGAGTTTACATGGCTGTTTGGAAATACAAACAAGTACAAAATTAATAGGTAATATCTTAGGCGATAAGTGTACTGAAGAAGTATAAGGTAGGGCTAAGGCATAGATGACATTTTAAATGGAATAGTCAAGAACAGCCTCTTTGATATAGTGACATTTTAGAAGAGATATGAACTAATTATAGAAAGAATATGAGGAAAGAAATTCTCCAGCAGAAGGAATAGCAAATGTCAATCTATTGTGGTAGAAATATGTTTGTTGTATTTGGGGAAACTTCAAGGAGATTAATATGAACAGAGAGAGCAAAAAGTGAATCAAAATAAATTAGGTCACAGAAAAAGGGCATGCAGATAATTCAAGCTCTGTAGGTCAAGCATAGCCTTTGAATTGAGATGGATGCCATTGGATGAGTACATGATCTGATTTATATTTTGGAAGTGAGACAAAGGTTGAAGCATAGATACCTGTACTTTGACCTTACAGAAAACTGTAGAGCCTTGATATTCATATGTTGATTTATTGTCTGTTCATTCTTTATTGTATTTCATTTTCTTCCAACCCAGGACTTCATCTTCATCATTCAATACCTAATAATATAACTGAGACAACAATAATGAATTCTGGGTTTTAGAATCTCCTTTCACTAAAATCTCAATCCTAGTAATTGATAAATTTTCCTACACCGCACCTTTACCAAGAAAACTCAAATCTACACGAAAAAAAAAGGTTCTTTTTTGTTTTCTAAGTGTGGAGTACAACATTGCTTAGCAACTATTTTTCTTTTATTTAGTTTTATACTCTTATCCTTTCCTTCCAACAAAATGTCCAAATATATTACTCGTATTCTGAAGCATCCAATTCATCTCACCCACTAATTAATTCCAGAAAAAAAAAACTCTAGCTATTTTGAAAAGAAAAAATTAAGCCCATTTTGCATAACCTCTTTAAACTTCCCTATAAATTACTACACACTTAATCAAATTTCTAACTTTCTCCAACATCTCGATCCTTGAGGTGATTCTCAGGTTTTTCAAAAATATTTTCTTACAGTTATCTGTTTTGCATTTCCTCCTCTATTCTTAAAGAAGTTTTAAAATTAAGATATTCTTTCCAATGAAGATTTTTATGGTAAAACTATAATGATATAACCTCCTGTTTGCATTTGGGGCATTTTTATTTAAAATGTATTTTTATATATTCTCATTTAGTTAAATTTTAACTATTATTATAATACCTTAAATATAAGAAAAATTTTGTTAGAGAAACTCAGCAACTGCCAAGTTCACAACAACATTTGTTTATGGAAATGATTTCCTTCTTGATGGTTCATCCTCTTGGCTTCTGCAACATACAAACTGCTTAGAAATACATCTCTTCTCTGCTCATCTATTTTATCACAAATATTTTAATGAGCTTTCTATTGTCTTCCACATATTACATCAGGTTATCTCTCCTCAGCCTAGTTTCTTCTGATTCTATGCATCCTTCCTGTATGATCTATTCTAATTTCAGAGTCTTGATTATAATCAATCAGCTTATAAATCCCCAATCATCTGCAGCTCCAGTGTGGCTCTTCATTTTCCAATTTTAGTCTCACGTAATTAGTCCTCTCCTGAATTTCTCTATCTCTTTGTCTATTAATGTTTTCTGACTCTCAAATTATATGAAAATCTCCTTAAGAGTAGGAGTAAAGCTAGTCAAATGGTATCTCCAGAATAAAGGAAATTTTATCTCATAGAGTAGAGAGTCACATGTTGTTCCATATAGGTCAATAGCAGTATTTTTCATTTTAGTTGTTCAAACAGGATTATAACGTAAGATTTTTTAGTTAAATAAATAAACATCATAGATTTTGGTCACATAGCTCTGGTCCATACTTTCATCACAGGTGATTTGGAGAACATGGAGGAGCAGGAGGAGGAGGAGAAGCAGAAAATGGAGGAAGAGAAGCACAAACAAGAAGAGGAGAAAGAGGAGGAGGGGGAGAGGCAAAAGAAAGTGAAGAAGGAGGATAAAAACCCAGCATAAATATCACTATAAAAACCCATTCATGGATTGTATCCATAAGCAACCAGTGTATTGCCACAACTGTGATAAGACAGTGGCTCTTTGTTGATACTTCCCTTGTAATTGAAAGGCATGGCCTTTCCAAAGAACATGATGTTTGCTTATAGAAGACAAGATATCTGTTTTACTTAATTATAAAATATGAAGCCATGTTCTGGTCCATCAGTCTTCTAAAATGGCCTACTGTTTCTGGAGGGTGAGACCATAACTAGCATGAGAAGGTCACTACTGTATTTCTATGCCACTATGCTTGTTCCACCTGTCATACATAATCCCCACACTTCCTAACTTGGAGAAGCAGAAAATCATGGGTGAAATAATGCCTACATTTTGGTGTTCCAACATAAAATGTATATGCCTTAGGTTTAATTGTAGTTTTTAAATGAGTATATTGACATCTGCCAGTATATCTTACTTGTTAGTTTGCTGTCTGGTAGTGCTTTTGGACTATTAGTTTTCTTTTTGTGCACTAGAACACGGATATCTTAGATCCACTGGAAGTGCACCTAATATTGTTAGAAAAACAAACTAGGGAAGAAAACACCACAGGGAAGAAATGAGAGGAGATGGAAAAGAAAACAAAGAAAGGAAACCATTTGACATTTAGCAATTAATTAAAGCAGGGTATATTTTTTTAAAATCAGACATAGTTCAATAGTTACTGAACCATGAGATGGTGCAGTGGCTCATGCCTGTAATCCCAGCACTCTGGAAGGCCTAGGCATGAGGACCACTTGAGATCAAAAGTTCAAGAACTGTGCTGACAACATTGTGAGACCCCCATCTCTACAAAAAATAATTAAAAAAAAATTAGTCAGGAGCAGTGGTGCATATCTGTAGCTCTAGCTATTTAGGAGTCTGAGGGGCGGTTCAATTGAGCGCTGTAGTTCCAGACTTCAGTAAGCTATGAGTGCGCCACTGCACTCAAGCCTGGGTGATGAATGCAGACTATGTATCTATAAAAAAAATAGTCACTGACTCCTATGTAATTCTTTTTCATTGAGAATGTAAAGAGAATGGCTTTGTTTTGCCCCAGAGAAGAGACCTTGTATCTCTGATGTTTAGAAATTTCATGCCAAAAGAACAAGAATAATAATATAATTTACTTGAATTATATATTTGTGAGTTATGGTCTCACTCTCCAAGAACAATAGGCCATTTTAGAAGACTGATGGACCAGAACATAGCTTTATATTTTATAATTAAGTAAAACAGTTATCTTGTCCTCTACAAGCAAGCGTCATGTTCTTTGAAAAGGCCATGCCTTTCAATTACAAGGGAAATATCAATAGCTACTGCCTTATCACAGTTGTGGCAATACACTGGTATGTGAATTATATATTATATATAAATTACATGTGCCTAATAATATTAGGTACAATAACATATATTGTTGTATATTACCTAGAGAATAACCATAATTTCCAATGGGACTGTTCAAATTAGCATAAAACATTTACCTAATAAATATTTCCTTTAAAAACCACACAAATTCATTTTATTTTATTTTATTATTTTACTTTAAGTTCTAGGATACATGTGCAGAATATGCAGGTTTTTTGCACAGGTAAACGTGTGCTATGGTGGTTTGCTGTATCTATTAAGCCGTCGTCTGGATTTTAAGCCCCGCATGCATTAGCTATTTGCCCTGAGGCTCTCCCTCCCTCCCCAGCCACCAGCCCTGATGTGTGTTGTTCCCTTTCCTGTATCAGACTCAAATTAAAAACATAATCTCTATTAGTGGGATCAATCTAAAGACAATGCGTTTACAAATCTGTTATATAGTTTTTCAAACTCTAAAGTACACAAATAATGTTCTGGACATGTTCTTAAAATTCAGGTTCCAGGTGTACACCCCAAGATTCTGACTCAGTAATTTTGGAAAAGTAGACTAAGAATTTGCATTTCAACAGGTATGAGCTGATGCTGATTGTGATGGTAGTATGTGGGACATCCTGAGGAACAATGGACTGAGCTGTACAACTTATCTGAACTTAGAAGTTAGTTTTTAATACTCGGTTCTTAGCACATTGAATTAAACAACCGGTAGTGAGTAGGTGATCTTTTATACATGTTTGTCTATTAATTTAATTAAAATTCTATTTTTCTCTTTCTGTCTAGTGTACTTATTTCAATAAATGACCTCTGTGAAGATATATGGGCCCCTGAAAACTCCAGGGAAGTAAATTCAAATTTCTAAACATAAGAAATCAGTTTTATGTGAGAGATATGTGACCAAGCACCTAGAAACGTTTGACATTAAATATGAGAATACTTTTATCATATGGCATCCAAAAGATGACTGAATTTTGGCCAATGTTTACATTCATTTTATTACTTAAAATATTCTAAGTCAATGTAAGCAGGTAAAAATACAAGATAAATGATGATTTGTAGGAAAACTTTTGAAGTGTAGAATGACTCCAATTTTATTATGCCAATTATCACTATTTACTAGAGAACGTGTAAAATTTTTCATAACATGGTAAGTATTATTTTTGACATAGCGTTGTTCCATCTTGGACATATATTTGTTGAAAAGTAGTAGATGGTATTCTACAGAAACATCTTTATCACTGCAATCATTTCTATGCCTGGTTTCCTCCAGCGTGCTTTTCCGTTGTCTGACTCACTCAGGGCTAGACTAACACTGGGATTAGCATGTGATGGGTCCATTCGCTTTCCGGTTGCCTTGTCTTCACAATGATCTATTGCAGAATCACCTGGTTAAGTTTATTTTTAGAATTTGTAGAGACAGATTTTGGGCATTACTTTCCGTCTCGATCATATGATCTCATAATTGATGTTATTTTGAAAAACAAAAGGGAGATTTCAAAAAACAAAAGGGAGATTTCAACGTGTTTAAATACATCAGCCATCTAGGAAAGGACATCTCTTGAGACTTCACTTCAGCTTCACTGACTTCTGGATTCTCCTCTTGAGTAAAAGGTAACATGTTCAAGTACAATCTAATATTATATATTAGCATAAGCTTTTGTTTGCTAAAATCAATAGTAACCCACTTATGAAAATGTATATTATCTATGATAATTTCTTATAAAGAAATAATTACCATTTATTGGCATCTGAAGATGACTTCTAGATCTCAATTCCTATGAATTAACACCAGCAATCATCATGCAAAGTAACTAATGTGGAATATGGCAATGTATTACATCCTCGCTGATGGTGGGACCTCAATGAACTCTTTTTATTTCCTTGCCTAGATACCTGATATCTACTTTCTTATTACTTTTATATTAAACTTAATGTAGAAGTTCACATTTTACAAGATACTGATAGATTCTGTCTTGCAAATTCATTATTATAAAAATTTATTTTTTAATTTACTTTCCTCTTAGTCGTAAACTATTTTATTACTTTTTCATTGGCCTTTCCATCATTAAAAACAGTTCTGTTATAAATCAAAATATATACTGTATAACAATTAGTCTTCTCAATCTTACTAATTTATTTAACTCATTTTCATTCATTTGTGTTATGGCAGAAAAGACAGTTTATTATTCCAAATTTTTATTATTGATTTACTCGGGAAATATGTTTTTCAAAACTATTAATTATACATTGATTATCTATGTTCATTTATCATTTTATCTGTTAGTAAAAGAAGGGCACTTTCTTACAGCCTTTTTTGATTTTCTATTTGCAACACAATTGACAGTCACAAACAACGGTAAAATTGTCTTTTTATATCATAAAAAGAGTCATAATTTGATTTATCTATTAGGTAATAGAAAAACTTCAAGAAATATATAATTTTTATAGTTAGTCCTATACAAGAAGTTTCCATTTAAATGAGTGAAGCAAAATGAATGAAGAAATAATAAGGCAAATGGGTTCTGCTTTCTGTGATAGAGATGTAGGGCTGTTTAAGAGTAGGACATTTTTATTATAATTAGATGAAAAACGTTACTGTAATGTTCTATCACAAGTGACAGGTAAGAGAGATTAGAAAAATTTTTTAAAATATTATCTATTAATGAATTACTTTATAGCTAGCAACTAACAAATAAAAATGCCATGTAATTCTAAGTTTTGTGGTAATTGTATTTTCCAGTGGAAATGCTTTTATTTACATGTTTGTAATTTAGAAATAAGTAATCCGCTTTACTTTTTTATATCAGCCGAAGAACTGGATTCACTTGCATATGCATAATTATAAAAACATATCAGAGTCCCAGATGAGGCTTTGAATAATATTATTTGAAATATTGAATAATCTTCACCAGTTCAACTTCTCAAAGTAGATACAATCATTTTCCCTGTGACTTCTCTTCATTTTATTTTTCTCTAACCAATACCATTAATGTTCTAATCTCAAGGTTGCACCATCTGTGCTATTCTTTAATAGAAATCTGGCTCATATTCACTGACTTTATTATAAAGAAAGTCCCCATTACTTGCCATTCTACTTTCTAAATATGTCTTTACACTGTACTTTAATTAGCATTCTTAATGTCATTATCTAAATCCCTTGTAATGTCACAACAACCTAAGTGGTCATCTTTTCTCCAGTTTTGTCCTCCCTACATGCTAAACTGTTTGAACTTTCAACATGCTTTCCTCTCTGTTGTATTTCATTGCAGTCTCCCAACACCTCCCTTTACTCATTCCATATAATCCAACTCAAGCTTGCCTTTCTTTGTTATCTTCTTACTCCCATTATCTTGGTCTATTTAAGATGTCCATTTGTGTGTTTCCTTAGCATATTAATAATTCCAAATTAGAGCACTCACCTTTATTTATCAATTAATGAAGCTATGCCCTGGGCTCACACCGAAGATCCAAGCATTTTGAAAGGCCAAGGCAGGAAGATTCCTAGAGCCCAGGAGTTTCAGAACAGTCTGGGCAATATAGTGAGACTAAAAATATTCTCTACCAAAAGAAAAACAAATTAGCTTGTCATGGTGTCACACACTTGTAGTTCCACCTACAAGTGGAACTAGGGAGGCTAAAGTGGGAGGATGGCTTGAGCCCAGGTGGTCCAGGATGCAGTGATCTGTGCTCATGCCCCTGCACTCCAGCCTGGAAAACAGAGCATGTCTCCCAATGCTTTGAAGCATAGTGTCATCAGTAGAAGTTTGATGAATGAATGCATGAAAGAATGTGATTACTGATTTTTCATGTTTGATTTTATAGGACTCAGCCAACTATGAAGTTTTTTGTTTTTGCTTTAATCTTGGCTCTCATGCTTTCCATGACTGTAAGTATATCTGGAAGTTTTAAAGGATACATTCTCAGTACTTATCCCAAGGATCTTTCTTATTCCTTACGTTCTGCCATATATTCATGTTCACCTCAATACAGCTTTAATATTTCTATGTAAAGATTTTCCTTGAATTAACCTATATAAGTTCTTAAAGGACTTAGAATAAATATTCATTACATACCTGCGAACACTCAAGTACAATTACTTGAATATAAAAATAAAAGAAAATTAAGCAAGCTTCATAAATATGTGGGACTGAGAACTGTGAAAATATCTTTAAATATTAAAAGCTCTAGACCACCTGAAGTTAGAAATCTGAGGAAAGAACAAGGTACACTTCAATGGAACCTAAGTATTAGAGGGTGTCAAAATATGAATTTTCAAGTAATTTCTTGCACAACCAAACTGTTCAAGTTAGCATACAATTTATTTTACTCTTTCTAAAATAAAGCTGCCTATTTTAAGCCATAAAACAAATCTATATCTGTTAAGTGTCATGAGTTCCCAGCTTGTATCGTCATTTACTACTGTGTAATAGTAGAAAAGGCACTTGACCTCTCTGGAGCTCTTTCTCCTTCTCTACTTTCTCATCCTCTTCCCACTCCTCCTCTTCTTTCTATGAAGTTAATAGAAAATTGGTCACAAAAGAATACTAATACTTCAACCTATCCACTAAATTCAAATGAATGTTTCAAAAACAAAATTGGTTATGGCATCACAGTTTATCACATGATTTTATTATAGAAGGATAGAAGTAGAAAAATAAACATATAAGAAGAACAGAGAAAAGCACAATGCCTGTCTCTATCAGCAAATAAAATATTTGTATGTTGGTAGCTTTTGAGCTACATAGAACATATTCATATAAAAAACAATCCAATGTTTCATTTTTCAGTTTCCACTCTCTTATTCACCAATGATAGACTTTTCTTGCCTTTCATAAAAAAGATATATAAACCAAAATGAGTTGATACTTTAATATAGCATATTAATTATAGAGAAGTTTACCCTTCACTCATTTTAAAGATGTCATAAAGCTAAAATAACTAATTTAGCATGTCATCATCCAAAGAATGCCTCCATTCTATTTAATCATAAATGTGGCTAAGTCAATTTTTACACATATTCTTGAATTATGAAATTAAGATATTAATTATTTTCTCATTTTCTTCTTTTCCAAGGGAGCTGATTCACATGCAAAGGTAAGACATTTTCATTTACTGGAAAACTTGATAATTAATCATATATTGAATTTTTAATCTTTTCTTTTTATTTCATAGAGACATCATGGGTATAAAAGAAAATTCCATGTAAGTGTTCTTCTGATAATGTGCACTCTGAATAAGTTTTCTTCTCTGACTATTTATTCTCCTAGAATAATTGATAGTTATCTCTCAAATATATTTATATCATTAATTGCTAAAGTGTACATTGATTTCATTTATTCTTGTTACAGAGGTAAAAGGTCACAAAAATCTTGTGTTCTAACAGCATTTCAACGGAAACTCAATTACACTCTGAATAAGTCAATTTTCAATTATTCTTTGAGAGCTTAAGTATCTTTCTCTTATAAATAATTACATTGACCTAAAGAATAGTTCCTAATTCTATGAATAATTCCTAATTCTATGAAGTATAACATATGCCTAATGAAGCATAGAGGCTACCCATGTAATGTGGTTTCTATCTTATAATATTTGAGGATGATAAAGTCTTTAAATTAAACTTACTGTGCTAAATTAGACAGAAAATTTTATTTAACATTTTTCTAAATGTATGTATAAAAATATCATATTATTTTGACCTCTAATATCAGTATGAATAGGGGTTCAAAAGTTCTGCTTACTAATATAGCAAGTATATGTGTTAAAAAAGCACTAAGTAAAATGATGCATAAAAAGGAATGAGGACTGTTTGTGTTAACAGCAGTGGGTATGAAAGAATGTAGGAGTTGTAAGAGAAAGTAAGCTCATTAAAAGAATAAGATGAAGAAACACCACCTAAGTTGGAAACGGTAACTTTCTCCTCCCCGTTATACTCAATGTTGGGCAAAATAGTAACTTGGAGGTAATGTTGTTAAGAAGATTTAAAACCTGTTTGGAGAGGTTGCCTATAATCAGTGTTCCAACATTTATTATTGCCACAAAAATATCAACACACAGTAAATACTTTATCATTTTTACTTGCTTTTAAACATTTTTCTGAAAGAAGAAAAATGTAACTAAAAATTTGAAAACATTTATGTAGATAACACACGAGGTCATAACAACTTTAACAATCTAAGCTTTCAGTGACAGTTTTTGTGAAGCATTTTTACTGTCATTGCCTCTATTCTCTGCAATTTGCTCTCTCCTTTTGTGTGTATGCAGGAAAAGCATCATTCACATCGAGGCTATAGATCAAATTATCTGTATGACAATTGATATCTTCAGTAATCACGGGGCATGATTATGGAGGTAAGCTGACTCTAGTTACTTTTCTTTCTAGAAGTATCAACACTGACAGTTAAAACAAGGAAAAATTAAAAAAAAGCCATTAAGCCAACAATCATTCCAGTTTAAGAAATGTAGCGTGGGTTAGCTCTTTGAAGTGTGTTGATTTATATAGATGCTTCTGACTTTGTAGATATGTGGTGTTATTTCTGAGGTCTCTGTTCTGTTCCATTGGTCTATATGTCTGTTTTGGTACCGGTACCATGCTGTTTTGGTAACCGTAGCCTTGTAGGGTAGTTTGAAGTCAAGTAGTGTGATGCCTTCAGCTTTGTTCCTTTTGCTTACAATTGTCTTGTGTATATGAGCTCTTCTGTAGATAATTATGAAATTTAAGTACTTATTTCTAATCCTGTGAAAAATGTCAATGGTAGTTTGATGAGAATAGCATTGAATCTATAAATTACTTTGGGCAGTAAGGCCATTTTCATGAAATTGATTCTTCTTATCCATGAGAATGGAATGTTTTTCCATTTGTTTGCATCTTCTCTTATTTCCTTGAGCAGTGATTTTTGGTTCTCCTTGAAGAGGTCCTTCACATCCTTTGTTAGTTGTATTTCTAGGTATTTTATTATCTTTGTTGCAATTGTGAATGGGAGTTCATTCATGATGCAGGTCTCTGCTTGCTATCTGATCTACGACAATCCTGACAAAAACAAGCAATGGGAAAAGGATCTCCTAGTCAATAAATGGTACTGGGAAAACTGGCTAGCCATATACAGAAAACTGAAACTGGACCCCTTCCTTACACCTTATACAAAAATTAACTCAAGATGGATTGAAAATTAAATGAAAAACCCAAAACCAAAAAAAGACCCTAGAAGAAAACCTAGGTGATATCATTCGGGACATAGGCATGGACAAAGACTTCATGAAGAAAATGCCAAAAGCAATGGCAACAAAAGCCAAAATTCACAAATGGGATCTAATTAAACTAAAGAGCTTCTGCACAACAAAAGAAACTATCATCAGAGTGAACAGGTAACTTAGAGATTGGGAGAAAATTTTTGCAGTCTACCCATCTGACAAAGGTGTAGTGTCCAGAGTCTACAAGGAACTTAAACAAATTTACAAGACAAAAACAAAAAACCCGTCTAAAAGTGGACAAAGGATATGAACAGACACTTCTCAGAAGAAGACATTTATGTGGCCAACAAACATGAAAATAGCTCAACATCACAATCATTAGAGAAATGCAAATCAAAACCACAGTAAGATACCATCTCACACCAGTTAGAATTGTGATTACTAAAAAGTCAAGAAACGATAGATGATGGCTAGGTTGTGGAGAGATAGGAACACTTTTTCACTGGTGGTGAGAATGCACATTAGTTCAACCATTGTGGAAAACTATGGATTCCTCAAGGATCTAGAACCAGAAATACCATTTGACCTAGCAATCCCGTTACTGGGTATATACCCAAAAGAATATAAAGCATTCTACTATAAAGACATATGCCTAGATATGTTTATTGCAGCACTATTTACAATAGCAAAGACATGGAACAACCCAAATGCCCATCAATGATAGACTGGATAAAGAAAATGTGGTACGTATACACCATGGAACACTATGCGGTCATTAAAAGGAATGAGATCCTGTCCTTTGCAGGGAAATGGATAAAGCTGGAAGCCATCATCCTCAGAAAACTAAAACAGGAACAGAAAACCAAACAGCACATGCTTCACTCATAAGTGGGAGCTGAACAATGAGAACACATCAGGGAGGGGAACAACACACACCAGGGATGGGGGGTAGGAGGTGACAGAAGGTAACATAGAGGGCTGATCAATAGTGCAGCAAACCACCATGGCACATGTATACCTATGAAACAATCCTGCACATTCTGCACATGTATCCCTGAACTTAAATTAAAATAAATCATAAAATAAAATAAAAATGCCTCTGAGGGAAAGCTTCTGTTTGCTACTGTTAAGAGACAGAGTTCTGGGTAGGGGAACCCCTGTGTTTTTATCCTGACCCTGACAACTAGTTTCATGACCTTAAAGTATTCCTAATCTTCTCTTAACCTTAATTTTATAAGAGACAAATACATGTTATAATAATACTTAAGCTCTTTATAGAATTTGTAGGGCTATTGAGAGACATTATAGGGAAGCCCTTGTTCTGGAAGGTGTATGGTTGTGGCCATGGGTTTCTCTGCCACTAAATCTGTACCTGGTTGTTATTTGAAGTTTTCTGTCCTAAAATGTAATCTTTGGAGAAGCTGCACAACCGCCATCTGGGAACTCATGAGAAATTTACGTTTTATGCCTAAGTAACTCTAATGAGCAATGGCTATAGGAATGACTAATAAAATATCAACAAGGAGATGGGAATTTTCAAGGAAATATGATATGGTAACAATGTCCTTTTTAGAAAGTCATTTTTACTTATCTATATTCACAGCATAAAATGTTCCAAAATCTATGAAATATTAAATATTATACTTCAAAATAAAGTAATATTTTGGAGATAAAAGAGTACTGTTCTACAATTCAAAATTGAAATAGTTCAAAAGATTTCAAATATTTTTAAATGTATTGGGACATTTTATTCATATTGAATTCCTGCTCTTCGTGATATTAGAAAAGGCCTGATCTTGATCCTCCAGGTGTTAGATAATTGCTGATGACATTTAATCAGGGGAGGATATAGGTAAAATATTATTTGAGGGAGATAGATGAAATGTGTAGGCTATATTTAAGTGAGAGAATAAAATAAGATGATGATGGAAAACCTCAAGAAAAATTTAAATTTAAATTGCAGATGCTGAATGATAATTTTTATTTATTCTGATACCCACTTAATGAGTATTTAATTGTTTAATTGTCTACTCTGTCTCAAATATTATTTTGGTCCCTGCATTATAATAAATAAAACTATCTATAAATAAATACTTTGTACCAGGAAAAGTATAAATTTATTTACAGGAATATCAATTTGGGCGATAAAGTGTTATTTTCTTTTTCTTCATAGGTTTGACTGGCAAATTCGCTTTGGACTCGTGTATTCTCATTTGTCATACCGCATCACACTACCACTGCTTTTTGAAGAATTATCATAAGGCAATGCAGAATAAAAGAAATACCATGATTTAGTGAATTCTGTGTTTCAGGATACTTCCCTTCCTAATTATCATTTGATTAGATACTTGCAATTTAAATGTTAAGCTGTTTTCACTGCTGTTTCTGAGTAATAGAAATTCATTCCTCTCCAAAAGCAATAAAATTCAAGCACATTATTATGTGTATGCTCTTTATTTCTCTTTTTTATATTTACAAACATAAAGACTTACTTCTTCACTTTATTTTCCCAGTTCGAGTAGCACTGACTATAGTACTTTATACCATAGCTCTTTTGAAATGATTATTTTTAATTTAGCATGTTATATTCATTTTATCTTACAAACATATGGTCCTCAATCACATCTAGATTACTAGATATGATTTGTCTCTGGTGTCTTTTGCCACAGGACATTTCTTAGCCTTGAACATTCTCACATCAACTTATCTCAGGCCCTACAGGCCAGCAGATAACCCCTATGTCACTCCACAGCAGTAGGCAGGCACTCAGAACAAAAACCATCTAATGCTCTCTATCGGTTTGTCAATATATCCATCAAACAAGTTTATTGCCCCTCTCCCTCTCCCTCTCCCTCTCCACGGTCTCCCTCTCCCTCTCCCTCTCTCTCCACGGTCTCCCTCTGATGCCGAGCAGAGGCTGGACTGTGCTGCCGCCATCTCGGCTCACTGCAACCTCCCTGCGTGATTCTCCTGCCTCAGCCTGCGGAGTGCCTGGGATTGCCGGTGCGCGCCGCCATGCCTGACTGGTTTTTGTATTTTTTGGTGGAGACGGGGTTTCGTCGTGTTGGCCGGGCTGGTCTCCAGTTCCTGACCGTGAGTGGTCTGCCCGCCTCGGCCTCCCGTGGTGCCGGGATTGCAGACGGAGTCTCGCTCACTCAGTGCTCAATGTTGCCCAGGCTGGAGTGCAGTGGTGTGATCTCCGCTCGCTACAACCTCCACTTCCCAGCCGCCTGACTTGGCCTCCCAAAGTGCCATGATTGCAGCCTCTGCCCGGCCGCCACCCTGTCTGGGAAGTGAGGAGTGTCTCTGCCTTGCCGCCCATCGTCTGGGATGTGAGGAGCCCCTCTGCCCGGCTGCCCAGTCTGGGAAGTGAGGAGTGCCTCTTCCCGGCAGCCATCCTGTCTGGGAAGTGAGGAGCGTCTCTGCCCAGCCTCCCATCGTCTGAGATGTGGGGAGCGCCTCTGCCCCGCTGCCCCATCTGGGATGTGAGGAGCACCTCTGCCCGGCTGCGACCCCATCTGGGAGGTGAGGAGCGTCTCTGCCTGGCCACCCCGTCTGAGAAGTGAGGAGCCCCTCTGCCTGGCAGCGGCCCCGTCTGGGAAGTGAGGAGCTCCTCCGCCCGGCAGCCGCCCCATCTGGGAAATGAAGAGCGTCTCTGCCCAGCAGTCGCCCCGTCCAGGAGGTGGGGGGCAGCCCCCACCTGGCGAGCCGCCCCATCCAGGAGGGAGGTGGGGGGCAGCCCCTGCCGGGCAGCCGCCCCATCTGGGAGGTGGGGGGCACCTCTGCCCAGCTGCCCTGTCTGGGAAGTGAGGAGCCCCTCTGCCTGGCCACCACCCCGTCTGGGAGGTGTACCCAACAGCTCATTGAGAGCGGGCCATGGTGACGATGGTGGTTTTGTCGAATAGAGAAGGGGGAAATGTGGGGAAAAGAAAGAGAAATCAGATTGTTGCTGTGTCTGTGTAGAAAGAAGTAGACATAGGAGACTCCATTTTGTTCTGTACTAAGAAAAATTCTTCTGCCTTGGGATGCTGTTAATCTATAACCTTACCCCCAACCCCGTGCTCTCTGAAACGTGCTGTGTCCACTCAGGGTTAAATAGATTAAGGGCGGTGCAAGATGTGCTTTGTTACACAGATGCTTGAAGGCAGCATGCTTGTTAAGAGTCATCACCACTCCCTAATCTCAAGTACCCAGGGACACAAACACTGCAGAAGGCCACAGGGTCCTCTGCCTAGGAAAACCAGAGACCCTTGTTCACATGTTTATCTGCTGACCTTCCCTCCACTATTGTCCTATGACCCTGCCAAATCCCCCTCTCTGAGAAACACCCAAGAATGATCAATAAATACTAAAAAAAAAAAAAAAAAAAGTTTATTGAGTGATACCAACTGTCAGACACACTATTTTAGTTGTGCTCTTAGAGGTGTTTAAAATTGTCTCTGAGGACCTTTGCAATTTTGTGGGCTTAGTTGTAAAGTTACCTTTGTCATTTCTGTTTGTTCTTATTTGAATCTTGTCCTTTATTTCTTCTTTATTAACGTAGCTGGCAGTTTATTGATCTTATTTGTACTTCAAAAAACTGACTTTTGGTTTCATTGATTTCTTGTATGGTTTTTGGTTCCAAGTTTCATTTACTTCTCCCTCGAGATCTGCCTACATGTGGAGTAGAGAAGTCCTCACTGCACCATGACCTACTCACAGGAATGGCGGGGTGGCTTAGGCTGTTGATCCAGGCAAAACTGTGTTCTCAGTACCTGGAGATCTGCCTGAATGTGGAGAGGAAATGATCCCACTACACCACAATCTATGTCCATAAAGGGTGTGGTGGCTCAGACTAATGTTCCAGGCAAGTAGTGGCTCTAAAGGCCTGAATTTCTACCTGGGAGTAGAGCAGAGACGGCCCTACACACCACAGTCTTGGGGTAGCAGGAGAGGGCACCTAGTAATGACACATGCAGACTGGTTCTAGGTCAGCAATCTTGTACTTGCAGCATGTCTCATCACAAAAGAGAAACAACAGCTCTAGCAGCTCTCCTCTGCACCATGATTTTGAGGTGGCAAAAGCACAATTCTGGTGCCTAGTTTTCCAGTGCTTTCCATAATTCTGGCTATGAAGGTTCTTAACCCACTCCAGAGCAGGCAGTTTAAACTCTGGCCTGAGACTCAAAAGCCTGCATAGCCATGTTCCCAAGTCACCAAAGAATGGCTGACTTTGTATGCACCTGTATTAAAAATGGCATCCTGCCATCAGTCCTGGGTCTGTGAAAATGTCTGCAGATGTTCCCAGTGTCTTTCCTTCATAGTGTCTCATAGCCTCTCCCCAGGTTAGCTTCAAGGCTTGGAAGAAACAAAATGCTCTCCTTTGGGCTAGGTCGCTCAGATTCTCAGTGGAAAGGTGAGTCACAGAGGGAGATGCTCTGCATCTCTCACATACTGGGGCTTCACTCACTTCGGTCAGCTGAATGTTATCATGGGGTATGTTTGCACTTGTTCTCCTCTGCAGGACCTGAAGTGTCCTTCATGATTCCAATACAATCCCACTTTCCTCCTTGAATTAAAGCTCAGAGACATGATCTTTATGAACTATCTTACTACCTTCAAGTGGCAGAAGCATGTCAAAAGTCTCTACTCTGCAACCTGAAAAAAAAAAAGCAGGAAAAAAAAATCACAACTCGCTTTATTTTCTCTTTTTATTTTGTGTTTGTTTTGATTTTTATTATTTAAGTTCTGGGATACATTTGCAGAACATGCAGGTGTGTTACATAGGTATACACATGCCATGGTGGTTTGCTGCACCTGTCAACCCATTATCTACATTAGGTATTTCTCCTAATGCTATTCCTCCCCTCAGCCCCCACTCCACAACAGGCCCAGATGTGTGATGTTCCCCCTGCTGTTTCCATGTGTTCTCAGTGTTCAACTCCTGCTTATGAGTGAGAACATGTGGTGCTTGGTTTTCTGTTCCTGTGTTAGTTTGCTGAGAATGATGGTTTCCAGCTTCATCCATGTCCATATAATGGACATGAACTCATTCTTTTTCATGGCTGCATAGTATTCCATTGTGTATATCTGCCACATTTTCTTTATCCAATCTATCATTGATGGGCATTTTGGTTGGTTCCAAGTCTTTGCTATTGTGAATACTGCTGCAATAAACATACATGTGCACATGTCTTTATAGTAGAATGATTGATTGATAATCCTTTGGGTATATGCCCAGTAATGGGATTGCTGGTTCTAGATCCTTGAGGAATTGCCATACTGTTTTACACAATGGTCAAACTAATTTATTAATTACTAATTTATCTTTGTGGTGTTCTCTGTATTTCCTGAATTTGAATGTTGGCCTGCCTTGCCAGGTTAGGGGAGTTCTCCTGGATAATATCCTGAAGAGTGTTTTCTAACTTGGTTCCATTCTCCCCGTCACTTTCCGGTAAATGAATCAAAGGTATATTTGATCTTTTCACATAGTCCCATATTTCTTGGAGGCTTTGTTTGTTTCGTCTCACTCTTTTTTCTCTAATCTTGTCTTCTCACTTTATTTCATTAATTTGATCTTCAATCACTAATTTCCTTTCTTCCACTTGATCGAATCAACCATTGAAGCTTGTGCATGCATCACGAAGTTCTCGTGCCATGGTTTTCAGTTCCCTCAGGTCATTTAAGGTCTTCTCTACATAGTTTATTATAGCCATTCGTCTAACCTTTTTTCAAGGTTTTTACCTTCCTTGTGATGGGTTAGAACATGAAACTTTAGCTCGGAGAAGTTTGTTATTACCGACCTTCTGAAGCCTACTTGTCAACTCATCAAACTCATTCTCCATCCAGTTTTGTTCCCTTGCTGGCAAGGAGCTATGATCCTTTTGGAGGAGAAGGGGCACTCTGTTTTTTGGAATTTTCAGCTTTTCTGCTCTGATTTCTCCCCATCTTTGTGGTTTTATCTACCTTTGGTCTTTGATGTTGGTGACCTACAGATGGGGTTTTGGTGTGGATGACCTTTTTGTTGATGTTGATGGTATTCCTTTCTGTTTGTTAGTTTTCCTTCTAACAGTCGGACTCTTCAGCTGCAGGTCTGTTGGAGTTTGCTGGAGGTCCACTCCAGACCCTGTTTGCCTGGGTATCACGAGTGGAGGCTGCAGAACAGCAAATATTGCTGCCTGATCCTTCCTCTGGGAGCGTCGTCCCAGAGGGGCACCCACCTGTTTGAGGTGTCTGTCAGTCCATTCTGGGAGGTGTTACCCAGTCAGGCTACACGGGGGTCAGGGACCTGCTTGAGCAGGCAGTCTGTCCATTCTCAGGGCTCAAACACCATGCTCAGAGAACCAATGCTCTCTTCAGAGCTGTCAGACGGGGATGTTTAAGTCTGAAGAAGCTGTTTGCTGCCTTTTGTTCTAATATGTCGTGGCCCCAGAGGTGGAATCTATAGAAGCAGTAGGCCTTGCTGAGCTGTGGTGGGCTCTACCCAGTTCGTGCTTCCTGGCCTCTTTGTTTACACTGTGAGCTACTCAAGCCTCAGCAATGGTGGATGCCCTCTTCCTGCCAGGCAGCAGCCACGCAGGTAGATCTCAGACTGCTGCGCTAGCAGTGAGCAAGGCTCTGTGGGCATGGGACCCACCAAGCCAGGCATGGGAAGGTATCTCCTGGTCTGCCGGTTGCTAAGACTGTGGGAAAAGCACAGTATTTATTCAGGAGTGTACCATTTCTCCAGGTACAGTCAGTCACGGTTTCTCTTGGCTAGGAAAGGGAAATCCCACAACCCCTTATGCTTCCCGGGTGAGGCGACCCACCACCCTGCTTTGACTCACCCTCCATGGGCTGCACTCACTGTCCAACCAGTCCCAGTGAGATGAACCAGGTACCTCAGTTGGAAATGCAGAAATCACTCATCTTCTGTGTCGATCTCTCTGCGAGCTGCAGACCAGAGCTGTTTCTATTTGGCCATCTTGGAAGCCAGCCCACTACCAAAGTAATCTTACCAAAGATTACCAAAGTCATGTGAAATGAAAGGCATCTGAGTTAGCCTCTATTAGTCTGATAAGCACTGACTTTTCTTTAAGCCAATAGATAAAAACTCTTTCAAATAATTTGGTAGTGAGATACCACTTCCATGTGACACATTCAATTATATAAATATAACAGACATACAAAGGCAGGTCCAGAAGATTTTTCATTTGGCTGTTTTGAAAAAATTTGCTCCCTTACTTTAGATTATTAATAAAGAAATGTTACAGGAGCCAACAAAAGGTGAAGGAGAAAATTACCGTCTCTGGCCTTTTCAAATGAGAGAAAGCACCGAACTTCAGGGATATCAATCTGAAGAATTAGAAACAGAAACGTTTCTTGAGCAAACAGTCATATTATTTTAGAAGAAAAAATCACAATATAAGATTATTTCTCATATAAAATTAAATTTCTATTATCCTTTTTGTTTACCAAAGGTACCTTTTAATATGTATAACTTTCCTTACATTTCTCTTGTTTCCTTTTACTTCATTTTATATACCTCTAAATAATCTTTGAATTAGATAAAAAATGTTTACCTTTTAATAAAAAAAAACACTTTTTAACGTGTTTCTCTGTATTTTTTAAATTGGAAATTAGTCAGACATTTAATTAATATCTATTACTTAATATAACCTCAGATTATAAATTATATGACAACTTTAATATAATGGATTGAAGTGTCCTGATAGTGGGTACGTATCCACAGTGTTTCACCCCTAAGTTATTTCTGCCCTCTTACATGCCTTGTTTTCTCTCTTCAGAGGTCTGGCACCTCCAAGAAGGCTCAAAAGATGGAGTAACCAGCTCCCATATGCATTTACCTATGAGCCTTGTTTAACTACTTTTGTTGGGGGTTCCCTGCAGGGCTGCTGTACATCACAGGGGGTCAAACCCCCAGACACTTTCACTTGGCTTCTGGTCACCCAGGGGCAGCGTTTGCCTGGGAGGGGCAAAATGCCTTTTCTCTTCAGAGTGAGAAAACTCAGTCTCCCATTTATCTACGAAAACAACAGTTCAGTTCCTCGCACAAATGTGCAGACAAGACAATTGTGCTTAATTTGGGGAGAAAAAGCAGTAGAGAAGACCCTTTAGAATATACCTCTCTGAACCAGATACCAAACAGGTTGCCCAAAAAGGGGTCATTTTCCTTGTCTTTAGAAAAAGGCAATGGAAAAGATCCTTTAGAATGCACCTCTCAAATAGAATTAGAATCCTAAACAACTTCCTAGGAGGAAAAAAAAATGCAGCTCAGAACAAATCAAGGACCGGCAACCAAAGGGATGTTCAGGGCTCAGGAGGACTTGCCAGTTTCACTAGAGGAGAAGCTCAAAATCAGGGAGGCTTTCAATGGGCCCTTGCTTGTACCCTAGCTCCAAGTTTGGGCCACTCCTTCAGTGTTCTGACTCTTCTCTGAGGCCCCACATGTTCAGGCAACAAATTGTTGTTGACAAAAAGAATCAAACTCTGTAAAATATTTGAAGAGATTTATTCTGAGTCAAAAATGAGTGACCAATGGCCTTTGACACAGACCGTAGGAGATTCTGAGAACATGTCCCCAAAAATGGCTAGGGTACAGCTTAGTTTTATACATTTTAGGGAGACATGAGACATCAATCAAATCCATGTAAGATATATTATACAATGGATTTGTACAGATAGGTGGACACTTCAATTTGTCCACTAAGTTCTAAGGGATGTTTCAAGAAACAACCTATGTATGATATCAGAGTTTATCATATTATTTTTGTATAAAAGGATAGAAGTGAAAAAACTTTTATACTTGATCTTTAGTTATAAAATTAAGATACTAACTATTCTCTCATTTTTCATTTTTCCAAGAGAGCTGACGTATCTGAAGAGGTAAGTCACCTTCATTCACAGGAAAACTTAATAATCAAACACATATTGAATTTTTACTCTTGTCTTTATTTTCACAGAAATATCATGAGTGTAAAAGAAAATTCCTTTCAAGGATTCTCTTGATAATGTTGTGCAGTCCAAACAAGTGTTCTTTTCTGATTATTTAATCTCCTGGTATAATCTGTGATCATTTTTGAAATATATGTATATTATGAATGGCTAAAGTGTATATTAATTTCACTTACTCATGATACATTGGCAAAAGTCCCACATGTCTTAGAGAATTTAGGTGGAAGTTCATAATGCCAATTTAAAGAAGTCAATTATTCTCTGAGAACTAAAATAAATTTGGTAAATAATTATGTTGACATAAATAATAGTTAAAAGCCAATTCTACTAAGTATAATATATGCCTATACTGCCATATTACATGTGCTGGCAATCACACAGGTAATATGGGAAGTTCCAATCATTTGATTTGTTGATGGTGATAAAGTCTTTCAGTTAAACTGGCTATTCTAAATAAAATAGAATATAGTATTTCTTTAATATATTTCTTAATGTGTATCTTTGATATGTCATTATTGTTTGATCTCTCATCTTAATGTGATGGAGTTTAAAAAAATTCTTCTTAGTAATATAATAAATACATTGATAAAATGGCACTAAATAAAAACATAAACATTGGGGAAGGATAGTTATTTGGGTTAAGAGAAGGCAGAGTTAAAGAATGCAGTAGTGACATGGAGAAACTCCACTTAAGTTGGAAGTATTAAATTTTTCTTTCCCATAATACTCAATGATGGGCAAAGTAGTAGCTTAAAGGTAGTATTATAAAAAAAAAAGTTTTAATCCTCATTTGGAGTGGTTGCCTGTAATCAGTATTCCCATGTGTACTGTAAAACAAGAACTGGCAACAAAGAGTAAAAAGGTAAATGCTTTATGATTTTTACCTACTTTTACATATTTTTTTATAAAAATGATAAATCTAACTAGTAGTTTAAAAATGATATTGCAGTTGATATACGAATTGCAGTTGATACAACAAACTAAGCTTTTAAACACATTATTGTGAAACTCTTGCACTGTCACTGTCCCAATTATCTACAGCTTTCTCTAGTTCTTGTGTCTGTATGCAGGAAAGGTCTAACCAACATCAGCCATATCCAGACTATTGGCCATATCCAGCATATCCACCATATTACCTATATCCCTATCCATAGCCTTACAGTGTTCCTCAGTAACCACAGGACATAAGTATAAAAGTAGGCTAGGTCTAGTGATATTCTTTACTTTCCAAAAATATCCATGCTCACAGTTAAAAGAGGAAAACAAACACGAGATATCAAACAAACAATAGACCCAGTAAGAGATGTGGGAAGGTTTAGCTCCTTGAAATGTATTTATTTATATAAACACCTCTGAGAGAAAGTTTCTGTCCTGTCGTGGTTAAGAGGCTGGACTCTGGAGAGGAGGAACCCTGAGTTTGTATCATGTTCCTGACAACTACTAGTTTCTTTACTGTATTAGTCCGTTCTCATGCTGCTAAGAAGACATACCCAAAACTGGGTAATTTATAAAGGAAAGAGGGTTAATGGACTCACAGTTTCACATGGCTGGGGAGACCTCACAATCATGGCAGAAGACGAAGGAAGGGGAAAGGAACTTCTTACATGGCTGCAGACATGAGGGCATGTGCAGGAGGACTCCCATTTATAGAACCATCAGATCTCCTGAGACTTATTCACTACCACAAGAACAGTATGGAGGAAAATGCTCCCACCATTCAATTATCTCCATCTGGCCTGCCTTTGACATATGGGGTTTATTACAATTCAAGGTGAGATTCCAGTGGGGACACAGCCAAACCATATCAACCTTGAAATTAGTAGTTTCTTAATCTTCTTTAAACATCAGTTTTCTTATCAACAAAATAGATATTATAATAATACTTAACCTCATTTTAGAATTGGGAAGACTATTAACAAATATATTACGTAAAATCCCCTGATTAGAAAGGTGTACAGTTATGACTGCAGATTTCCCTGCCACTAATTCTGTTTCAGAATGTTGTTCAAAACTATGCCTTCTAAAACACAATCTTTGGAGAAGATGTACAAGCACTATATGGGAAATTGTGGGAAATTTACATTATATGCCCTAAGTAAATCCAAGAGCAATTACTGAAAGAATCACTAGTATAATACCAACAAGGAGATATAAAAACGTCTTCAATTTCATTTTTAGAATATCAGTTTTATCTAACTATACACAACATTAAATGTTCTGAATTCTGTGCAATATTAAATATTTATCTACAAAATAAAGCAAATTTTTAGAGATTAAAGATAACTTCTACATTCATCAAAGTTGAAATATTTCATGGAATTTTAAATATTTCTCAGTGCATTGTGAGATTTTATTCCAATTGAATATCCTGTTGACATTAATGATATGGGAAACAGCCTGAACTTGATCTTCTAGGCATTTGATAATAGCTGATGAAATTTAATCAAGAAAGGATACATTTAAAATATTATTTGGGGAAAATAAATATGAATAAAGTATGTAGGCTGTATTTAAGTGGGAGAAAAAATAGAATAATAATGGAACTTAAGAGAAATTTAAATTTAAATTGCAGGTGTTGGATGATAATTTTTATTTATTCTGATACCAATTTAACAAGTATTTAATTGCGTATTATGTGTCAAATATTATTTTGAGCCCTGCATTATATTAGCCTAAATGATCTGTAAATAGCTATGCTGCACTAGGAAGAATATAAATGTTTTCTACAGGAGTTGGTTGAATTACCAAAAAGACAAAGTAAAATGAAAGACTATGATTTAGTGTATTTTCTCTGTTTCAAGATGACTGACTTCCTAATGGATGTTTGATTGGATAGTTGCAATTTCAAACCATTAAGCTGTTTGCAGTGCTGTTTCTGAGTAATAGAAGTCCATTCTTTTTATAAGTGCAATATATTTTAAACAATTCTTATGCAAAAGTTCTTTATTTCTATTTTCTATATTTACAAATATAGCTATTCCTTACATCACTTCTTTTACCCAGTTTGAGAAGCACTGACTGAAGCACTCTATGTCAGAGGTCCTTTAGAGTCAATTATTCCTAATTTAGTCTGTAGTATTTTATATTTTACAAGCATATAATCCTTAAGCTCAGCTAGATTATTGGGCCTATTTATTCTGACATTTGATTGGCTCTGGGTTTCCTTTGGTACACCTAATTTTCTCACCCTGGAAGTTTCTCACATTTTTTACCTCAGTTTCTACAAGACAGAAGGTAACCGCACCGCCCCCCAGCCCCCACCCACCCCACTCATTGTCACTGCACAGTAAAGGGAACACAGACCCCAAACCATCTAATGCCCCCCATCAGTTTGTCTGCAATGACTTTCTTTATTATTATTATTATTATTATTATTATTATTATACTTTAAGTTTTAGGGTACATGTGCACAACGTGCAGGTTTGTTATATATGTATACATGTGCCATGTTGGTGTGCTGCACCCATTAACTTGTCATTTAGCATTAGGTATATCTCCTAATGCTATCCCTCCCCACTACTCCCACCCCACAATAGTCCCCGATGTGTGATGTTCCCCTTCCTGTGTCCATGTGTTCTCATTGTTCAATTCCCACCTATGAGTGAGAACATGCAGTATTTTCATCACAGGAGATTCGGAGAATAAGGAGGAGGAGGAGAAGCAGAAAATGGAGGAAGAGGAGCCCAGAGAAGAAGAGGAGAAAGAGGAGGAGGGGGAGAAGCAGAAGAAGGTGAAGAAGGAGGATAAAAACCCAGCATAAATATCACTATAAAAACCCATTCATGGATTGTATCCATAAGCAACCAGTGTATTGCCACAACTGTGATAAGACAGTGGCTCTTTGTTGATACTTCCCTTGTAATTGAAAGGCATGGCCTTTTCAAAGAACATGATGTTTGCTTATAGAAGACAAGATATCTGTTTTACTTAATTATAAAATATGAAGCCATGTTCTGGTCCATCAGTCTTCTAAAATGGCTTACTGTTCCTGGAGGGTGAGACCATCCCTAGCATGAGAAGGTCACTACTGTATTTCTATGCCACCATGCTTGTTCCACCTGTCATACATAATCACCACACTTCCTAACTTGGAGAAGCAGAAAATCATGGGTGAAATAATGCCTACATTTTGGTGTTCCAACATAAAGTGTATATGCTTTAGGTTTAATTGTAGTTTTTAAATGAGTATATTGACATCTGCCATATCTTACCTGTTAGTTTGCTGTTTGGTAGTGTGCTTTTGGACTATTAGTTTGCTTTTTGTGCACTAGAACATGAATATCTTAGATCCACTGGAACTGTACCTAATATTGTTAGAAAAACGAACTAGGGAAGAAATGAGAGGAGGCAGAGAAGAAAAGAAGAAAGGAAGGAAACCGCTTGACATTTTGTAATTAATTAAAGCAGGGTATATTTTTTAAATCAGACATAGTTCAGTAGTTACTGAACCATGAGATGGTGCAGTGGCTCATGACTGTAATCCCAGCACTCTGGAAGGCTTAGGCACGAGGACCACCTGAAATCAAAAGTTCAAGAACAATGTTGACAAAATTGTGAAACCCATCTCTATAAAAAATAAAATTAAAAATTTAGGCTGGTGCAGTCGTGCGTACCTGTGTCTCTAGCTACTTAGGAGTATGAGGGGAGGTTTGCTTGAGCCCTGTAGTTCCAGACTGCAGTTAGCTATGATTGCACCACTGCACTCCAGCCTGGGTGATGAATGCAGCCTATGTACCTATTAAAAAAAAATAGTCACTGAATCCTATGTAACTTTGTTTCATTGAGAATGTAAAGAGAATGGGTTTGTTTTGTGCCAGAGAAGAGACCTTATATCTCTGATGCTTAGAAATTTCATGCCAAAAGAACAATTTAAATCTAATATACTTGAATTACATATTTGCCTAAATAAATAATTTACATTTTTGTATATTACCTATAGAATACCATAATTTCTAATAGGACTGTTCAAATTAGCATAGATGATTTATCTAAGAAATATTTCCTTTAAAAACTCACACACAAATTCATTTTATTTTATTTTATTTTACTTTCCTATTTTACTTTAAGTTCTGGGATACGTGTGCAGAACATGCAGATTTGTTGCATTGGTAAACGTGTGCCATGGTGGTTTGCTGCACCTATCAACCCATCATCTAGGTTTTAAGCCCCACATGCATTAGCTATTTGCCCTGATGCTCTCCCTCCCTTCCCCACCACCAGGCCCTGGTGGGCGTTGTTTCCTTCCCTGAATCAGACACAAATTTAAAACACAATTTCTAATTAGTGGGATCAAGCTAAAGACCATGCGTTTATAAATCTCTTAAGTAGTTTTTCTATCTTTAAAGTACACAAAGAGTTTCCTGGACATGTTCTTAAAATTCCGGTTCCAGGTGTACACCACAAGATTCTGACTCAGTAAGTTTGGAAAAGTAGAATAAGAATCTGCATTTCAACAGCTACTAGCTGATGCTGATCATGATGGTCGCATGTGGCACCCTCTGAGGAACAATGGACTGGGCTGTATAACTTATCTGAACTTTAGAAAAGAGTTTTTAATACTCAGTTCTTAGCACATCAAATTCTCCAACCGGTAGAGAGTAGGTGAATGCTTATACATGTTTGCCTATGAATTAAATTAAAATTCTGTTTTTCTCTTTCTGTCTAATATAGTTATTTCAACAAATGGCCTCTATAAATATATATGAACCTCAGAAAACTCCAGGGAAGTAAATTCAAATTTCTAAACATAAGAAATCAGTTTTATGTGAGAGATATGTGACCAAGCACCTAGAATCTTTTGACATTAAATATGAGAATGTTTTTATCATATGATATCCAAAAGATGATTGAATTTTGGCAAATGTTTACATTCACTTTATTACTTAAAACACTCAAAGTCAATGTAAAGGTAAAAATACAAGATAAATAATGATTTGTAGGAAAACTTTTGAAGTATAGAATGACTCCAATTTTATTATGCCAATTATCACTATTTACTAGAGAATGTGTAAAATTTTGATAACATGGTAAGTATTATTTTTGACATAGCGTTGTTCCATCTTGGACATATATTTGTTGAAAAGTAGTAGATGGTATTCTACAGAAACATCTTTATCACTGCAATCATTTCTATGCCTGGTTTCCTCCAGCGTGCTTTTCCGTTGTCTGACTCACTCAGGGCTAGACTAACACTGGGATTAGCATGTGATGGGTCCATTCGCTTTCCGGTTGCTTTGTCTTCACAATGATCTATTGTAAAATCACCTGGTTAAGTTTATTTTTAGAATTTGTAGAGACAGATTTTGGGCATTACTTTCCGTCTCAATCATATGATCTCCTAATTGATGCTATTTAGAAAAACAAAAGGGAGATTTCAACGTGTTTAAATACATCAGCCATATAGAAAAGGACATCTCTTGAGACTTCACTTCAGCTTCACTGACTTCTTGACTCTCCTCTTGAGTAAAAGGTAATATGTTCAAGTACAATCTAATATTATATATTAGCATAAGCTTTTGTTTGCTAAAATCAATAGTAACCCACTTATGAAAATGTATATTATCTATTTAAATCTAGTTTACTTGAATTGCGTATTTGCCTAAATAAATAATTTACATTTTTGTATATTACCTATAGAATACCATAATTTCTAATAGGACTGTTCAAATTAGCATAGATGATTTATCTAATAAATATTTCCTTTAAAAACTCACACACAAATTCATTTTATTTTATTTTATTTTACTTTCTTATTTTACTTTAAGTTCTGGGATACGTGTGCAGGACATGCAGATTTGTTGCATTGGTAAACGTGTGCCATGGTGGTTTGCTGCACCTATCAACCCATCATCTAGGTTTTAAGCCCCGCATGCATTAGTTATTTGCCCTGATGCTGTAATGTGTACAATTTTGTACTCGGGATCTGAAGATGACTTCCAGATCTCAATTCCTATGAATTAACACCAGCAATCATCACGCAAAGTAAATTATGTGGAATATGGCAATGTATTACATCCTCTCTGATGGTGGGACCTCAATTAACTCTTTTTATTTCCTTGTCTAGATACCTAATATCTACTTTCTTAATTATTAATTCTACATTTAACTTAAACCAGGAGTTCAAATTTTACAAGAAGATACTGATAAATTCTCTCTTGGTAAATATATTATTATAAAGGTTTATTTTTAAAAATTTACTTTCTTCTTAATAGGAAACTATTTTATTACTTTTTTATTGACCTTTCCATCATTTAAAACAGTGCTGTTATAATGCAAAGCATATACTGTATAAGAGTTAGTCATCTCAATCTTACTAATTTGTTTAACTCATTTTCATTCATTTGTGTTATGGCAGAAAAGAAAGAGTTTACTGTTCCAAATTTTTATTGATGTGTTACTTGGGAAATATGTTTTTCATAACCATTAATTGTATATTGATTATCTATGTTCGTTTATCTATCAGTTTATGTGTTAGTAAAAGAAGACCAATTTCTTAGAACCCTTTTTTATTTTGTACTTGCAACAGAATTGACAATCATTAACAACAGTAAAATTCTCATGCCTTTTGTATCATAAAAAGAGTTGTAGTAGGATTTATATATTAGGTAATAGAAAAACTTCAAAATACATAATTTTTATAGTTAGTCCTATAGTAGAAGTTTCCATTTAATTGAGTGAAGCAAAATAAACGAATAAATAATATGGTAAATGCCATAAATCTTGGGTTCTGCTTTTCATGATAGAGATGTAGGGCTGTTTAAGAGCAGGACATTTTATTATAATTAGATGAAAAATGTTACTGTAATGTTATATCACAAATGACAGGAAAGAGAGATTAGAAAAAAATTTTTAAATTACCTATTAATGAATTACTTTATAACTGCAATTAACAGCCAAAAATGCCATGTAACTGTAAGTCTTGTGGTAATTGTATTTTCCAATGGAAATGCTTTTATTTACGTTTGTAATTTAGAAATAAGTAACCTGCTATACTTTTTTATATCTGCAAAGGAACTGGATACACTTGCATATACATAATTATAAAAGCATATCAGAGTCCCAGATGAGGCTAACTTTGTTGAATAATATTATTTGAAATATTGAATAATCTTCACCAGTTCAACTTCTCAAAGTAGATACAATCATTTTCCCTGTGAATTCTCTTCATTTTATTTTTCGCTACCCAATATCACTAATGTTCTAATCTCAGGGTTACACCATCTGTGGATTCTGTAATAGAACTCTGGCTCATAGTCACTGACTTTATTATAAAGCCAGTCTCCATTGCTTTTCATTCTACTTTCCTAATATCTCTTTACACTGTACCTTAATTAGCATTCTTAATGTCATTATATAAGTCCCCTGTAGTGTCACAACAACCTAAGTGGTCATCTTTTCTCCAGTTTTGTCCTCCCTATGTGTTGAACTGTTTGCATTTTTAACATGCTTTCCTCTCTGTTTTATTTCTTTATAGGCTCCCAACACCACCCTTTACTCATTCCATATAATCCAACTCAAGCTTGCCTTTCTTCATTACCTTCTTACTCCCATCCTCTTGGTCTGTTTAAGATGTCCATTTGTGTGTTTCATTAGCATATTAATATTTCCAAATCAGAGCACTCACCTTTACTTATCAATTCATGAGGCCATGCCTGGGGCTCACACCTGTAATCCAAGCATTTTGAGAAGACAAGGCAGGAAGATTCCTAGAGCCCAGGAGTTTCAGAACTGCCTGGGAAATATAGTGAGACTAAAAACATTCTCTACTAAAAAAAAAAAAAAGAAAGAAAAAATTCGCTGGGCATGGTGGCACACACTTGTAGTTCCAGCTACAAGTGGGACTAGGGAGGCTAAGGTGGGAGGATGGCTTGAGACCAGATGGTCCAGGCTGCAGTGATCTGTGCTCATGCCCCTGCACTCCAGCCTGGAAAACAGAGCATGTCTCCCAATGCTTTGAAGCATAGTGTCATCAATAGAAGTTTGATGAATGAATGCATGAAAGAATGTGATTACTGATTTTTCATGTTTGATTTTATAGGACTCAGCCAACTATGAAGTTTTTTGTCTTTGCTTTAGTCTTGGCTCTCATGATTTCCATGATTGTAAGTATATCTGGAAATTTTAAATACTACATTCTCAGTACTTATCCCAAGTGTCTCTCTTATTCCTTGTGTTCTGGTATATACTCATGTTGACCTCAATACAGCTTTATAAGCTTTAATATTTCCCTACAAGGAGTTTCTTTGAATTAACTTATGTAAGTTCTTTAAGGACTTGGAATAGATATTCATCACATACCTACAAACACTCAAGTACAATTACTTGAATGTAAAAGTAAAAGAAAATTTAGCGAGCTTTTTAAATATGTGGGACTAAGATCTGTGAAAGTATCTTTAAATGTGAAAAGCTCTAGACCATCTGAAGTTAGAAATCTGAGGAAAGAAAAAGGTGCACTTCAATGGAACCCAAGTATTAGAGGGTGTCAAAATAGGAATTTTCAAGTCATTTCTTGCACAACCTACTCTTAAAGTCAGCATACAATTATTTAATTCTTCCTAAAATAAAGCTGCTTATTTTAAACCATAAAACAAATCTCCATATTTATTAAGTGTCATGAGTTCCCAGCTCTATTGTCATTTACTACTGTGTATTAGTAGGAAAAGCACTTGACCTCTTTGGAGCTCTTTCTCCTTCTCTACTTCCACCGCCTCTTCCTCCTCCTCCTCCTCCTCCTCTTTCTATGAACTTAATAGAAAATTGGTCACAAAAGAATAATAATACTCCAAACTATCCACTAAATTCTAATGAATGTTTCGAAACTGAATTGGTTATGATATCACAGTTTATCACGTGATTTTATTATAAAAGGATAGAAGTAGAAAAATAAACAAATAAGAACAGAGTAAAGCATAATGCCTGTCTCTATCAGCAAATAAAATATTTGTATGTTGGTAGCTTTTGAGCTACATGGAACATATTCATATAAAAAACAATCCAGAGTTTCATTTTTCAGTTTCCACTCTCTTATTCACCAGTGACAGACTTTTCCTGCCTTACATAAAAAAGATATATAAACCAAAATGAGTTGATATTTGAATATAGCACATTAATTATAGCATTTACCCCTCACTCATTTTGAAGATGTCATAAAGCTAAAATAACTAATTTAGTCTGTCATCAACCAAAGAATGCCTCCATTCTGTTTAATCATATATGTGGCTAAGTCAATATTTATACTTACTCTTGAATTATAAAATTAAAATATTAATTATTTTCTCATTTTCTTTTTTTCCAAGAGCGCTGATTCACATGAAAAGGTAAGACATTTTCATTTACGGGAAAACTTGATAAATAAACATATATTGAATTTTTAATCTTTTCTTTTTATTTCATAGAGACATCATGGGTATAGAAGAAAATTCCATGTAAGTGTTCTTCTGATAATGTGCACTCTAAATAAATTTTCCTCTCTGACTATTTATTCTCCTAGAAGAATCAATAGTTGTCTCTCAAATATATCTATATCATTAATTGCTAAAGTGCACATTGATTTCATTTATTTATGATGCAAAGGCAAAAAGTCACAAATATCTTGTGTCCTAAAAGCATTTCAACAGAAACTCAATTCCACCTGAAATAAGTCAATTGTCAATTATTCTCTGAGAACTTATCTTTGTCCTGTAAATAATTTCATTGACCTAAAGAATAGTTGAAATCCTAATTCTATTAAGTATAACATATGCTTAATAAAGCATAGAGGCTACTCATGTAATGTGGTAAGTTTCTACCTTCTGAATTTTTGAGGATGATACAGTCTTTAAATTAAACTGACTGTGCTAAATTAGACAGAAAATTGTATTTCTCTAACATTTTTCTCACTGTATGTATATAAAGTCTCATGTTATTTTGACCTGTAATATCAATATGAATCTGGGTTCTAAAGTTCTCCTTACTAACATAGCAAGTATACATGTTAAAAAAGCACCAAGTAAAAAGATGCATAAAAATGGATGAAGACTGTTTGTGTTAACAGCAGTGGGTATGAAAGAATGTAGGAGTTGTAAAGGAAAGTAAGATCACTAAAGGAATGACATTAAGAAGCACCACCTAAGTTGGAAACAGTAACTTAATCCTTTCCATAATACTCAATAGTGAGCAAAATAGTAGCTTGGAGGTAATATTTTAAAGAAGATTTGAACCCTGGTTAGAGAGGTTACCTATAATCAGTGTTTCCACCTGTGCTATTGTCACAAAAATATCAGCAAACAGTAAATACTTTATCATTTTTACCTACTTTTAGACATTTTTCTGATAAAAAAGAAAAATGTAAAAGTTTGAAAACATTTATGTAGATAAAATACAAGGTCTTAACAACTTTAGCAATCTAAGCTTTTAATGACAGTTTTTGAGAAACACTTGTATTGTCATTCTCTATTCTCTGCAATTTGCTCTCTCCTTTTGTGTGTATGCAGGAAAAGCATCATTCACATCGAGAATTTCCATTTTATGGGGACTATGGATCAAATTATCTATATGACAATTGATATCCTTAGTAATCATGGGGCATGATTATAGAGGTAAGCTGACTCTAGTTGCTTGTCTTTCTAGAAGTGTCAACACTGACAGTTTAAAAAAAAAGCCATAAGCTAACAACCATTCCAGTTTAAGAAATGTAGCATGGGTTAGCTCCTTGAAGTGTATTCATTTGTATAAATGCTTCTGAAGCTGTAGATATGTGGTGTTATTTCTGAGGTCTCTGTTCTGTGCCATTGGTCTGTATGTTGTTTTGGTACTGGTACCATGCTGTTTTGGTAACTGTAGCTTTGTAGTATAGTTTGAAGTCAGGTAGTGTGATGCCTTCAGCTTTGTTCTTTTGCTTACAATTGTCTTGGGTATATGAGCTTTTCTTTGGATCCATATGAAATTTAAAGTAGTTATTTCTAATTCTGTGAAGAATGTCAATGGTCATTTGATGGGAATAGCATTGAATCTATAAATTACTTTGATCAGTATGGCCATTTTCATGATAATGATTTTTCTTATCCATGAGAATGGAATGTTTTTCCATTTGTTTGTGTCCTTTCTTATTTCCTTGAGCAGTGGTTTGTAGTTCTCCTTGAAGAGGTCCTTCACATCCTTTGTTAGCTGTATTTCTAGGTATTTTATTCTCTTTGTAGCAATTGTGAATGGGAGTTCATTCATGATTTGGGTCTCTGCTTGCCATCTGATATTCAACAAACCTGACAAAACAAGTAATCAAGAAAGGATCTCCTATTGAATAAATGATGCTGAGAAAACTGGGTAGCCATATGCAGAAAACCGAAACTGGACCCCTTCCTTACACCTTATACAAAAATTAACTCAAGACAGATTAAAAACTTAAATGTAATACCCCAAACCATGAAAACCTGAGAAGAAAACTTAGGTGATACCATTCAGGACAGCCGTTGGCAAAGACTTCATGTAAAAAAATGCCAAAAGCAATTGCAACAAAAGCCAAAATTGACAAATGGGATCTAATTAAACTAAAGAGCTTCTGCACAACAAAAGAAACTATCATCAGAGTGAACAGGCAACCTAGAGAATGGGAGAAAATGTTTGCAATCTACTCATCTGTCGAGCTCTAATATCCAGAATCTACAAGGAACTTAAACAAATTTACAAGACAAAAACAAACAACCCCATCTAAAAGTGGGCAAAGGACATGAACAGATAGTTCTCAGAAGAAGACATTCATGCAGCCAACAAACAAGAAAAAAAGCTTATCATCACTGATCATTAGAGAAATGCAAATAAAAATCACAATGAGATACCATCTCACTACCAGTCAGAATGCTGATTATTAAAAAGTCAAGAAACAATAGATGCAGGTGATGCTGTGGAGAGACAAGAACACTTTTACACTGTGTGTGAGAATGTAAATTAGTTCAACCATTGTGGAAGACAGTATGGTGATTCCTCAAGGATCTAGAACCGGAAATACCATTTGATGCAGCAATCCCATGACTGGGTATATACCCAAAGGAACGTAAATCATTCTACTATAAAGACATATGCCTACATATGTTTATTGCAGCACTATTTACAATAGCAAAGACATGGAACCAACCCAAATGACCATTAATGATAGACTGGATAAAGAAAATGTGGTACATATACACCATGGAGTACTATGCAGCCATACAAAGGAATGAGATCCTGTCCTTTGCAGGGACATGGATGAAGCTGGAAGCCATCATCCTCAGCAAACTAACACAGGAACAGAAAGGAAACAGCACAAGGTCTCACTCATAAGTGGGAGCTGAACAGTGAGAACACGTGAAGACAGGGAGGGGACAACACAAACCAGGGATGGAGGGGAGGGAGTAAGGGAAGGTAACAGAGGACTGATCAATAGGTGCAGCAAACCACCATGGCACACATATACCTATGTAACAGAACTGCATGTTCTGCATATGTATTCTAGAACTTAAAGTAAAATTAAAAAATAAAATGAAATAAAATAAAAATGCCTCCGAGGGAAAGCTTCTGTTCACCAGTGTTAAGATGCTGAGTTCTGGGTAGGAACTATAGTTCCAGTTCTGACCTGGAACTATTCCTAATCTTCTCCATACCTCAGTTTTCTAATCGACAAATACATATTATAATACTACTTAAGCTTTTTATAGAGTTGGAAAGACTATTGAGAGACATTATATAGAAGCCCTTGTTCTGGAAGGTGTATGGTTGTGGCCATAGGCTTCTCTGCCACTAACACTGTACATGGATGTTATTTGAAGTTTTCTGTCCTAAAATGAAATCTTTGAAGAAGTTGCACAACCACCATCTGGGAACTCATAAAAAATTTACATTTTATGCCTAAGCAACTCTAATGAGCAATTGCTATAGGAATGACTAATATAACATCAACAAGGAGATGGGAATTTTCAAGGAAATAGAAAATGGTAACAATTTCCTTTTCATAAAGTCAGTTTTATTTATCTATATTCACAGCATAAAATGTTCCAAAATCTATGAGATACTAAAGATTACATTTCAAAATAAAGCAATATTTTGGAGATAACAGAGTACTGTTCTACAATTCAAAGCTGAAATAGTTCAAAAGGTGTCAAATATTTTTTAATGTATTGGGACATTTTATTCATATTGAATTCCTGCTCTTTGTGATATCAGAAAAAGCCTGATCTTTATCCTCCAGGTGTTAGATAATTGCTGATGACATTTAATCAGGGGAGGATATATTTAAAATATTATTTGGGGGAGATAGATGAAATGTGTAGGCTATATTTAAGTGGAAGAATAAAGTAAGATGATGATGGAAAACCTCAAGAAAAATTTAAATTTAATTGCAAATGCTGAATGATAATTTTTATTTATTCTGATACCCACTTAATGAGTATTTAATTGTCTACTCTATATCAAATAGTATTTTGGTCCCTGCATTATAATAAATAAAACTATCTATAAATACATACTTTCTGCCAGCAAGAGTATAAATTTATTTATAGGAGTATCCATTTTGAAGATAAAGTGTTATTTTCTTTTTCTTCACAGGTTTGACTGGCAAATTCACTTTTTACTCATTTATTCTCATTCATCATACCGCATCACACTACCACTGCTTTTTGAAGAATTATCATAAGGCAATGGAGAATAAAAGAAAGACCATGATTTAGTGAATTCTGTGTTTCATGATACTTCCCTTCCTAATTATCATTTGATTAGATACTTGCAATTTAAACTGTTAAGCTGTTTTCACTGCTGTTTCTGAGTAATAGAAATTCATTCCTCTCCAAAAGCAATAAATTTCTAGCACATTATTATGTGTATGCTCTTTATTTCTCTTTTTTATATTTACATATATAAAGATTTCTTTCTTCACTTCGTTTTCCCAGTTTGAGTAGCACTGACTATAGTACTTTATACCATAGCTCTTTTGAAATGATTATTTTTAATTTAGCATGTTATATTCATTTTGTGTTACAAACATATGGTCCTCAATCACATCTAGATTACTAGACCTACTGATACGAACATTTGATTTGTTTCTGGTGTCCTTTGCCACAGCACATTTCTTAGCCTTGTACATTCCCACATTTCTTATCTCAGGCCCTACAGTCCAGAAGATGACCCCCATGTCACTCCACAGCAGTAGGCAGGCACTCAGAACACAAACCATCTAATGCTCTCTATCAGTTTGTCAATATAGCCATTGAACAAAAATTTATTGAGTGATACCAGCTGTCAGATACTGTTCTAGAGGCTGCAGTCACAGAAAAAGAGTCAGAGCCCTGTTGTCAGAGCTTTTACATTGCAATTGGGAGATGCAGACAAAAAGTAAACAAAGAACACATGACTTAGGCAATAATAAGTGTGCTAAAGAAGTGTAAAGCAGGACTAGGATATAGAAGCAGCCTCAAATAGGATAGTCAAGGATAACCTCTCTGGTATAGGTGACCTTTTAGAAAAGATATAATTTAAATATGGGAGTAAGCATGAAGAAAGACATTTTCAAGCAGAAGAAATAACAAGTACAAATCCATTGTGAATTTTTGGTTACATATGAGTTGTAGAATAGTTTCTCCACTCTTGTGTAAAATGATGGCAATTTCATAGGAATGGCATTGAATCTGTATATTGTTTTGGACAATGTAGCCATTTTAATAATATTGATTCTTCTAATCCATGAGCATGGAATGTTTTCCATTTGTTTGTGTCTTTTGTGATTTCTTTCAACAATGTTTTGTAGTTCTCCCTGTAGAAATCTTTCATCTCCTTGGTTAGATGTATTTATAGGTTTTTATTTTGTGTGTGTGTGGCTATTGTAAATGAGATTGTGTTCTTGATTTGACACCTTGCATATGATTCATGAATAGAAATGCTACTGATCTGTGTCCATTAATTTTGTTTCCTGAAACTGTACTGAAGTGGTTTATCAGTTCCAGGAGTCTTTTGGTGGAGCCTTTAGGGTTTTGTAGGTATTGAATCAAATTTCCATGAAGAGAGAGAATTTGACTTCCACTTTTCCTAGTTTTTTATTACTATATCTTGTTGATAGCTCTTTCTATTTCTTTCAATATTATGTTGAATAGGAGTGGTGTGATTGGACATCCTTGTCTTGCTCCAGTTCTCAAGGTGAATGCTTCTAGTTTTTGCCCATTCAGCATGATGATGGCTGTGGGTTTGTCACAGCTAGTTCTTTTTATTTCAAGATATGTTCCTTCGATGTCTAGATCGTTAAGGGTTTTTATCATGAAGGAACGTTGAGTTTTATCAAAAGCTCTTTCTGCATCTGTTAAGATTATATGGTTTTTGCTTTTACTTCTGTTTATGTGGCAAATCACATTTATTGATTTATGTATGGTGAACCAATCTTGCATCTCTGGAATGAAGCCTGCTTGATAATGGTGAATTAACTTTTCGATGTGCTGTTGGTATCGGTTTGCTAGTATTTTGGTGAGGATTTTGCATCTATATGCATCGAGTATATTGGCCTATAGTTTTCTTGTGTGTGTGTGTGTGGGTGTGTTTGTGTGTGTGTCTGTGTGTGTCTTTGCTAGGTTTTGCTATTGCAGTGATTCTGGCTTAACAGATGAGTTAGGGAGGAATCTCTCCTCCTCAGTTTTTTGGAAAAGCTTTAGTATAATTGATACCAGCTCTCAGTATGTCTGGTAGAATTAAGCTGTGAATCCATGTGGTCTGGGGCTTTTTTTTTTTTTTTGATTGGTAGGTTTTGAATTACTGACTCAATAATTAAACTCAATATTTGTCTGTTCCAGGTATCCATTTCTTCCTGGTTCAATCTTGAGAGATTGTCTGTTTCTAGGAACTTATTCATTTCTGCTTGGTTTACTAGTTGTGTGCATAGAGGTGTTCATAATTGTCTCTAAGGATCTTTGCAATTCTGTGGACTCAGTTGTAAAGTCACCTTTGTCATTTCTGTTGGTTCTTATTTGAACCTTGTCTTTTATTTTTTCTTATTAATCTAGCTGGCAGTCTATTGATCTCATTTATCTTTTGAAAAAACTAACTTTTGGTTTCATTGATTTCTTGTATGGCTTCTGGTTCCGAGTTCCATTTACTGCATTTACTTCTTATCCTAATGCTTTTTATTTGCTTGCTTGTTGTTGTTGTTGTTTGAGACAGAGTTTCACTCTTGTCACACAGGCTGGAGTGCAATGGCATGATCTTGGCTCACTGCAACCTCCACCTCCCAGGTTCAGGCGATTCTCCTGCCTCAGCCTCCTGTGTGGCTGGGATTACAGGTGCCCACCACCACACCTGGCTAATTTTTGTTTTTTGTTTTGTTTTGTTTTGTTTTGTTGGTGGAGACAGGGTTTCACCGTGTTGGCCGGGCTTGTCTCGAACTCCTGACCTCAGGTGATCTGCCCACCTCGGCCTTCCAAAGTGCTGGGATTACAGGCATTAGCCACTGTGCCCAGCCATATCCTGATGTTTTATTAAGAATCTGTAAGTTTCATGAGGGTCAGCAAAGTCCTTCATGATGAGTCTTCTCAAACAGTTGTATGATTCTGCAGGAGTAATGTCACCTTGAGTGCCCACATAAAACAAACCCTCTTAACCCCAGCATTTACCATGACTGGATAATAGGGATATTCAGTGGGTGAATATGCCAGCTATCATAAAGCCAGTCCCACATGGCTTGCATATGAAGCATATCAGCTGCTTCATCTTGGTGCTGCACTTGGCATTTTATAGGGAGAGTTGGGCAGTCCCCTTCTTAGGAAAAACAGACCTTACAGTGGTGTTTATCCAGTCCACTAGGCTGGTCATTCTTTCTGGAATGACCTCCTGTGCATATGGATCACATATACGCATCAACAATTCTTTAATAGTGAGCTGTGGAGCCTGAATTAACCCAAACATACTTTTTCATTCCATAGCATTTAAAATTAAGGATACTGTCCTTAAAGTAGTTATTTTTACAATCCATTATCAGAAAGATTTCTCATGAAGGAGATGATACCAATTTACAAAATGCAATTATACCCTCTGGATTTTGTACTTACTTGATTTTGCCTTTCCCCCACATTGACTATCCTTTTAGTAACCACAGGTCTCAGAGGTAACTTTTTGTTGCTCTGGGTTAATAGTTTTCTTTTGGGTAGCTTTGAGGTTAGTGGCCTGAGCTGAGACATTCCCATATCTGAGCTTGGTCTAGCCTGAAGACCCAACCCAGCATGCTTTTACTTTCATTTTAGCTATTTATAGATAACAATAAGCAAGTGATTGAATATTTTGCGTTTTTCTTATTAGTTTGCATTTCCTCATGCATTGGGTGAACTAATTCCCTGAGAGTATGGGTATGATACAGCTCTAAATTCCACTGGTAACTTTTATCTTTAGTAACTGAATGCAGCCCAGCTAAAGCTCCTGAAGATGGGCAACCACACGGCCACCCAAGAGTCAAGGTTTCTCATTCCACATCTTTTCATTTTCTCTTAATCCATTTAGTTTTTTCTGTATAATTTTTCCTTCATTTAAAAATGACTCTTAAATAGTCTTTAAACAAGAAAAAAATACACTTTTCTTTAGCAAAAAAAATACATCTTTGTGTTTTATAAACTTCATCAGAAACACCTTTCACTCTCCTACTATTTTAACTCTTAGTAACCCCATTCCCAGTGAAAAAACATGGTTTAACAAACCATGACTTTAAGATTTTAAATTACTGGAGAGAATTTTGAGATTAAATTTACCAAAGTAATCTTACCAAAGATTACCCAAGTCATGTGAAATAAAAGGTATCTGAGTTAGCCTCTATTAGCCTGCTAAGCACTGACTTTTCTTTAAGCCAATAGATTAGAGCTTTTTCAAATAATTTGGTAGTGAAACATCACTTCCACGTGACACATACAAATATATAAATGTAATAGACATACAAAGGCCAGTCCAAAAGATTTTTCATTTGGCTGTTTTGAAAAAATTCTCTCACTTACTTTAGATTATTAATAAAGAGATGTTATAGGAGCCAACAAAAGGTGAAGGAGAGTTATCTACCATCTCAGGCCTTTTCAAAACAGAGAAAGCATCAAACTTCTGGGATATCAATCTGAAGAACTGCAAAAAGAAATGCTTCTTGAACAACCAGCCTTATTATTTTAGAAGAAAAAATTCAAAATATAAGATTATTACTAATATAAAGTTGAATTTCTACTAACATTTTTCTTCTTACCAAAAGTATCTTTTTATATCTATAACTTTCCTTATATTTCTCTTATTTTCTGGTTCCTTTTACTTCATTTTATATACCTCTAAATAACCTTTGAATTAGACAAAAAATATTTACCTCTTAATAAAAAAACACTGTTTAAAATATTTTTCTGTATTTTTAAAATTGGAAATTACCCAGACATTTAATTAATGTCTATTTTTTAATATAATCTTAGATTCTAAATTGTATGACAAGTTTAGCATAGTGGATTGACCTGTCTTGATAGTGGGTGGGACTCCACAGTGTTTCACCACTGAGTCATTTCCGCCCTCTTACATGCCTTGGTTTCTCTCTTCAGAGGTCTCCTACCACCAAGAAGGTTCAAAACATGGAGTGACCAGCTCCCATATACATTTCCTTAATGAGTCTTTTTAAACTAAAGTTGTTGGGGGTTCCCCGCAGGGCTGCTGCACATCACAGGAGGTCAACCCTCCAGATACTCTCACTTGGCTTCTGGTCACCCAGGGGCACCTTTCGGCTGGGAGGAGCAAAATGCCCTTTCTCTTCGGAACTGAGAAAACTCAGCCTCTCATTTATCTAGGAAAACAACAGTTCAGTTCCTCACATGAATATGCAGACAAGACAATTGTGCTAATTTGGGAGAAAAAGCAATGGAGAAGACCCTTTAGAATGCACCTCTCTGAACTGGAAACCAAACAGGTTGCCCAAAAGGAGGTTATTCTCCTTGTCTTTAAAAAAAGGCAATGGAAAAGATCCTGTAGAATGCACCTCTGTAGGAGAATCTCTTGAACCCGGGAGGCGGAGGTTGCGGTGAGCCGAGATCGCGCCATTGCACTCCAGCCTGGGCAAAAAGAGCGACACTCCGTCTAAAAAAAAAAAAAAAAAAAATGCACCTCTCAAATAGAATCAGGATCCTAAACAACTTCCTAGCACGAAAAAAAAATGCAGCTCAGAATAAATCAAGGACCCTCAACCAAAGGGACGTTCAGGGCTCAGGAGGACTTGCCAGTTTCACTAGAGGAGAAGCTCAAAGTCAGGGAGGCTTTCAATGGGCCCCTGCTTGTACCCTAGCTCCAAGTTTGGGCAACTCCTTCAGGGTCCTGAGTCTTCTCTGAGGCCCCACATGCTCAGGCAACAAATTATTGTTCACAAAAATAATCAAACTGTAAAATATTTGAAGAGGTTTATTCTGAGTCAAAAATGAGTGACCAATGGCCTTTGACACAGACCATAGGAGATCCTGAGAACACGTCCCCAAGGCAGTCAGGGTACAGCTTAGTTTTATACATTTTAGGGAGACATGAGACATTGATCACTACATGTAAGCTATGTTATACATTGGTTTTGTCCAGAAAGGTGGGACAACTGGAAACAGGGGCTTCCAAGTCATAGATAGATTCAACAATTGTCTGATTGCCAATTGAGTCAAAAAGTTAGGTTATTGTCTAAAGACTTAGGAAAGACTGGGTTAAGATAAGGGGATGTGGACACCAAGGTTCTATCATGCAGGTGAAGCTTCCATGTAGCAGGCTTTGGAGAAAATAGACTGTAAATGTTTCTTATCAGACTTAAAGAGTCTGTTCTATCAGTAATTCCAACAGGGACGAGAGTATAAAGAGGCATGTTTAACCCTCTGCTTCCCATCATGGCCTGAACTAGTTTTTCAGGTTAGCTGTGGAATGTTCTTGCTGAGAGGAGTCCGTTCAGATGGTCAGGGGCCTTACAATTTTAGTTTTGGTTTGCACCTGTAGGTATTAACACACTCAAGGTTGTTTTACAGTTCATTTAAGTCCTGTGTTGTTTTCTTAGTTTTTCTCTATTATTTTTGACATTTTTATTCCTATATTTTCAATTTTCTTCCTTACAATTTTAGTTTTGGTTTATATCTGTAGGTATTAACACACTCAAGGTTGTTTTACAGTTCATTGAAATCCTGTGCTGTGTTTTTAGTTTTTCTCTATTATTTTTGATAGTTTTAGTCTTATATTTTCAATTTTCTTAACTTTTTTCTTTATTATCTGGCATGCTGTTAATTATGTACTTTTTATGTCAGATATTGTATTTTTAAATATACTCATGCTCCCTCTAGTTTAACATAGACAATATAGTTACAACACATATTTGTATTATTGTTTACTAATTCTATCATTTGTATCACTTCTAGGACTATTTGTATTGATTGATTATTTTTCTTCACTGCAAGTCATGTTTTCTTTCTTTGTTACACGCCTGGTAATTCTTTATTGGCTGACAGACCTTGTGATTAGCTTGTTTGAGCCCTGAATTTTTTTATTCATTTAAATATCATTGAGCTATGTTCTAGGTCATAGTAAAGTTGCTTTTAAACAATTTTCACTTTAGACTTGCTTTAAAGCTTTACTAGGAAATGCAGAACAGAAAATTCATTCATTTATAGGTAAACTTAACACATTACTCAAGCAATACCTTTCTAAGTATTCTAACCATGCCATGTATACTACAAGGTATTTCCACTCTGGCTGATGGTAACATGATCTATTCCCAGTCCTGTTTGTGCTCCAGGCATTATACCATCTGCTTCTTTCTGATGTTCTTTCCCCAGCCTCATAGAGTTTTCTTGCATTCATTCCTGCTAATCAAAACTCAGCAGATAATTAAAGATAACCCTCTTTAGATCTCCAGAATTCCTTCCCTGTGCAATTCCTTCCTATCTTTGAAATCTTTTCCTCTTCAGTATTAGGTATTAATTTTAGAGGCTTCCATCCATTAATCTCAACTATATCTCTTCAATTAAGGGAATTGCTTATTCTATTTAAACGCTTCCTTTCTCTGTTGCAATTTGTACATTTTTTCCTCATAATAAGGTGAGATAATTATTATAGGGCTCATCTCACTCTTTTCCCTTCTCTTGGGAATCACCATCCTGCATTTCTTATTGTATAAGACAGGAAAATTTTTATATCATTTATTTTGTTATTTGTCTAGTTACTGAAAACAGGAGTTAAGGTAAATGCAGTCCCTGATACGCAATTCTGGCCAAAAACTGAATTCCAGAGTAAAAGTGTTTTGAGGTTTTCACAAGGCCCTAAAAGTCCTGCGTTATTTGGCTCCTTTTGTTTCTCTGACCTCAGGTTAACCAGATTTACTCAACCCCAGCCACACTCTTCTATTTGTTATTTTTAAACATGCCACGCATGATCCTATTTTAAGGCCTGCACTAGGTTGCTCTTCTCCCAGCATTCTTCCTGGTTTATACATTTACTTCTTTACATTTTTACTCTTTTGCTCAGGGAGGATTTCCTAGCTATGCTATCTAATATTGAAAACCCCTTCCCTAACAAAACTTCTTATTTCTTTTTCCAATTCCGTTTTCCCCTTAGTATTTATCACTATCAAACCAACTATAGATTACTTAATTATCATGTTTATTAGTCTCCCTTTCAGTTAAACCATAAACTCCATAAAGCATGGAACTTTTCTTTTTTCATGACTCTATTTTATGTGTTCAAAAGAGTTCATGGCATATAGTAGGTTCTCAGTAAATCTTTGTTCAGTCAAATATAGTTATATATTAGCACCTATCTACATATAAATTTTTATATTTTCTTTTAATTAAATGTAAAAAACCATACACCAACTGTATAAGGAATTGTGTTTGTATGAGAATCACAGGATATTTTCACAGCTTTGTCCAATTTTAAGCTGATGTTTTAAAACAGAAATTTATCAGGCATTTCCAATGAGAATTTGAGAGACGGAAATTCTTGCTCACACAAAATGAGGAGTCACAAAGACACAAGAATTCATGTTGTGCTCAGGAAAGGGTCTGAATGAGGTATAAAGAGTAACAAGAAATGGGGCACAAATATTAGCTATGGGAAATTTGATAACAGGAGACAAGGAAATAAAAAAATACTTATCTTAAATCAAAAAACTATTTCATGAATGAGGCTACATACAAAATACAGCCAATTATTAAGTATTATAACATCCTCATTTCCTGTTATCATGTTCTAAATCAAACTGTCCTAAAGCACTCCTTGGAATTTGTGGAACAAAAATCAAGAAAAAAATTTCTAACCATTCTGACTTCTCAGAATTCAAGTGCCTTTTTAGATATTTTAAAGCACAGAATTACCCTATTATGGAGGAACAAGGTTTAAATAGTATTAAAATAACCCACTGCAGATTTTCCACTGTGTAGTCCACTGGTCTTCTATTTGGGAAACAAGGTAATATCTTCATATATTATTTTTCTTGTATTAGGTGCTAATAAAAAATATTTTAAAGCTTATTACTCTTCTGTACAATAAAAATGCAATTATTTTTAAAGGTGTCAATATCAACACACCATAAATTGCTTAAGAAATATTTTTATTTATGACAAACTTCTTTGTTATTTTATTTTTTAATAATACAATTAATATGTTATGCTTATTATGACACAGTCTTATAGGTACTGAGGTTATTTTCTGAAGTCATGACCAAGATAATCAGTTTGTATATGGCCTCTCGACCACTTTCTCCGTCTGGAAATGGGAGGCAAAAATTCTGACATTACATAGTTATTCTGAAGATTACAGATAACAGTAAAATGTCTAGCACAATATTTGCCATAGTTGTTGCTTAGTAGTTACAGCTATTTTTAATTTCCTTTCCCAAAATATTAAGAATATGTCTAATTAAGAACTAACAGTTTCCATGTTTTAATTCTTTCATCTATGTAAAATGCTATTTATAGGTAAAATTGATATAAACACAGCCATATAAAATATATTACTTCAGGTATTTATTATAAAGATAACGAAATATGCCTTACAATTGTGAACAAAGCTTTGCCTATATGAAATATGCTCTATACATATTTATTATTTGCATCTTAGAAGAATAAATAATTATTTCATCAACTATATGGTATTATTAATGATTATTTCATCAACTACATGGTATTATTATTCACTTCAAGGGTGAGATATTTTATACTATATAATGGAGAAATCTTTCAAAAATTATGCAATAAAATATGAAGGTGTAATTTGATGCCTGTATAGACACACCCTCTGTATTCACAAAGGTGTGGATCATAAGCCCATTTTGTTATCATTGGGTAAGCTTTAAATTATCCTTTAAAAATAAATTGTAAATATGTACACTATAAAGAGTTACATATATCAAAAATATTTTAGAATAACTTTAATTTTTACTTATTCATTTAAACATAAGGAAGAGAAATTTAGTGACACGTATTCAGAAAACCTTGTGGATTTGTTTATATCAATAATATGAGACATCAGTCTAGCTGGAAGGGATCTTAGAGATCGTGTAGTCAACTCACATTTATTAAATGTGTTAAATAAGGTATGGTGATGTTCACTGGCTTACTGAAGCTTTAGTGGCCAGTCCAGGGTTAAACGGGGACCTGCAGGATTCTTTATTCCCAATCCAGTGTTAATTCTATCTGCTATTTCCTATTAGGGAGCCAGGCTGCATGTTTTGACTCCTTGAAATCTGATTTTAAAAGGAGTTCCTGTTGTATTTTGTTTTTCTGATAATCATTCGTCACAAAATGCCTGTCATTGGAGATTAGCCCCAAGAACCAATGATATTTGAATGAATCTTCCACATTTTAACAAATATGCCTTTAAATTAGTCCTGTTGAAAAAAAAGTCTCTTTCAAAATAAACTATTATATTCATATTCATATTTATGAGCTTCTCAAAAGCAAATGCTTTCAATCTTCATTATCTTTTCTCAATCATCTGGTATAAAAATAATAATAGGTAAATAAATAAAAGAATGTATAAGTTTTGGAACTATAAATTATGTGATTAATTTTCTGTACATGTTTTTACAGGACCAAACAACCATGAAGTTCTTCATCTTTACCTGCCTTTTGGCTGTTGCTCTGGCACATCATGTAAACATACTGGGACATATAGTGATATCAATTCTTATTTAAGTGTATAAGAAAAATGAACTTTTTACTATATGCAGAAGATTCAGGCATTAACAGTAATAAACAGAGACTAAATATGTGACCTTTTAGTCTGTGATCAATGACATTATTGACTCTACCTTAAACAGAGTGTTCAGGCAAATAGTCTTTCTACAAAGTGACTTCACTTTAGTATTGGATAGGCTGTATGTATAGGGAAAAAAGGCAGGAATTTTCCTCCGTAATATGTTGGAATATATGTTGAAATTTTCTGGAGGGATTATTTCCACTCTGCCACATGTTTCTAGAAGTGTAAGAAAGCCTCACCACTATAATTGCGGATTCCAAAGGTAGCTATCAATGGAGTAACAGAATTTCAGCATTCTTGATAAAAGTAATTAAGAAGCCATGATGATCAAATATACACAAGGACATGTTACAGAGGATGGAGTTAGTAGCTCTAGATTTTCAGTGGCAACTTTGTAAATTATTTGCCAAATAACCCAGTGAGGATACAATAATGATATTCATGTCACAAAACTGTAAGTATGTAATAGACAATACATATAAAACTGCCTTGCATACATGGATATAGATACATATATATACATACATATATACATTTTGTACTACCTATAATTTTAATCTTCTAACATTATTAGCACCCTCATTCACAGGAAAAAAAAACTCACATACCCACCTCCTTCCCACTCCAACATGTCACTCTTCCCATAAAGTCATCTTTTACTTTTATAGTGCTCAGTGTACTCTTTTATAATGCACATCCCCATATGTAAGAGATATATACATGCAGGCATTTGTGCCTTCTTAAATTTGTAGCCAACTGAGTAAATCTAAAGTGAGAATTTCATTTTTAATATGAACAGGTTGGTTTAAAAAGTAAAAAAAAAAACAATGCTTTAGTAATCAATAATACACAGGATCAATAATTTCTTCTATCTTATGCTCTACTGGTGGTTACTAGATGTAACCACTCTCCTTCACTTTTAAAAATTAAATAATTGGCCTCAATTGTTCCATTTAATAGACAAGGACTCTCAGCTAAAAATCAAGGGACATTTGTTTCAGAGTTTTCCGGGGAAATTCAGAGTAATGTTTTCATTATTTATTGACAATATTAGAAACAGAGGTAATTTGTTAAAGGAGGCCTCATTTCATTAAATTTCCCCAAGAAGCAGTGTTACAATATTTTATTCCCATTAAATAGTAGAGACAAAGATTCACATTGGTATTTTAAATTAAATTTGTGTTTGTTTTTTGTGACTTATATAGGAGATAAAGCACTCCTCCTCTTCCAGTGAGGTAAGGTACTTTATTATAAAAACACTTCTTGGCACCTGATAATACAAATGTCCTGGGTTAGTTCCATTTTTGTGATCAGTAACAGCAGAGTTACAGAATCATGGAAAATTTGAAGTGCAATTATTGCTTGAACGTATGGGGAGAATAAACTAAAATGCATGCATCCAAATGTGACAAGATTAGATTTGTGCACTTTTCCACTTGATTCTTTGGTAGTTATCCAATAACGGTGATATTAGTATGGAAGTAATGGTGTCCTTTACATATTATTATGGAGTCCATTACATATTATTATGGAGAAAGGGGCTCAGGTACACCTACATCTATATTAAGTGCTCATTTCTAAATGTCTTCTTGCTCATGGCTACATACAAGGTGTCCAAAGCTCTTTAAGGTTGGCCAAATAATTGCCATGTTATGCTACTATATATTTCACTTAGAAATCAAAGAGAGAAAAAGACAAAGAAAAAAAAACTGTGCAGAAGACAAATAAAATTATTCCTTTGCTGTTTGCTGTTAGCATTTGCAAAAATATTGTATCTGGCTTATCCCACAAGTATATTAAGAGTTCAGATCAAGTTATTTAACTAGAATATAATAATAAGTTAATTAAGGAGAGTAAAATTTTTGGTCAGATTCACTCTGTAATTCAGGAAAAGACCAAGTATTTTATCTTGAGCTACTGTATAATGAGTATGAATTGATGCTAATTTGGGTAGTATGAATAAAATATTTCACAAGTAATCAAATGTATTATTAATTTATTTTTCTAAGTAATCTGCCAGCATCTACCAAGAAGTAAGTCATAACTTCTTACATTAAATGTTTTTAAATAATTTGTCATTTTTATATAGCTATAAAATGAATATTATTTATTTTTTCCAGAAGTTTAAGCTTAACAATAATATGGTCTTCCAAACCAGTCAGGTAAAATTCATCTGTTAATGTTGTGTTTGATTAATGAGGTGTATTTTTATCAATTATAAATTATTTTCCATGTGAGTATTATTTTTTCATCTCCAAGTGTAAAGTGAGTGATGTTTGTATTGTCTTAACTGCTATGAAATTATGTGAAAGGATCACGTGAAAACATATTTGTGGCCCATTTGTGAACCAAGTTTTCAAAGCGTCATCTCTTTGAATGGAGTTATTTATGATCAATCATCTACTCTTCACCTCACTAATTCTTGACTTTTTGGATGACCATTTAATGTATTTTACTTTATGCTAAAAAATCTATATAAGAATTATGGAAAATTATGTTTCTCTTGAATCAGGATTTGAATCAATTCCAATTTCATTTTTGGAAGGACATTTGCTCCAAATTCTAGCAAGTATAAGACCTTGATTTCAAATCTGATCTTGAGTAAAGTTGAAATTAGCACATATAAAAAGTATACTTGTTGTAAGAGAAATTTGAAAAACAGGACAAAAGCATGCACTTGTCCTAATTCAATGAATAATTCAACTGAAGAATATTAATTTGTGCAAGAATCAATGAATCCACTAAACACTTCCACAGTTATTTCCAACAAAGAATAGAGACCTAGTAATTTTGTGATTTTTAATTCCTTCAGCTAATTTTTAATATTTATCTCAAAATTTTGTCTTTTAAAATTAAATACATTTATTTTTAATGAAAACTTTTATAATCTATCTGCAAATCACAGGTTTAAGTCCTAATTATGTATTTCAAATATACATTAAAATGTTTACAGTTATTTAAAGTTAAAAATAATTATCCAGCTGCAGACTAAATTAATTTTGTGTATTCACTTATTCATTTAACAAATATTATTGAGGAAGAACTGTATCCCAAACAATATTCTAGGCTCTGAAATACCACAGCAAATAAATACAACAAACAAATTCCCTCCCTCATGGGGCTTACATTTGAATTTACTACTGTTGGCACGTTTATTATGAAATGAACAATTTTGATATAATTCTTTCAAATCCCTAAAATGAAAATGAATGCTTCTCTCTGTGGTAGGTGGGTTTTTTCTTTACATTCAGTAGAATATACCTTATAAGCAATGCTACAGGAATAATATGTCTAATTCTTTTTTAACTAGGAAACTGCAAATAAAATAGATACGATGGTGAGATATTTTTATTCATCTGAACTATATTTGATTGACAATATGTATACCTAATATTAAATATTAATAATAGTCTGTAACATATCTGGAATATTCCTCTTTTAATAATCCAGAAATTATTTTTAAAAATTTTTTTAAATTATAACTTCATCCTGCATCCATTCTTTTTATTCTCTTAAATTTGCCCTTATTCTCATAATGGAGATACTTCCATTTAAATAACAGATTATGTGAATCCCTCCCATTTGTTTTGCAAAGATGATTCATAATAAGAACCTATGAAACCTGATTATATTGTTTTTATTTCAATCCTTCTTTTGATGTTTAGTACAATGATGAAGTAGGTAATTAATGTGGAACATATCTAAAGTAACTACTGCTATTCAAGGATTCAATTTATTCCTATCACCAAATTATTTTATTTTTATTTTCATTTCAACTTATCAGCAATCTTCTAGCAGTTTATCCAGTGGGGTAAGATACTGTTTCTTTTAAAATCAAAGAAATAGCAGCTTTCTAGTAGTAGTATACAATAGTTTGATAATTTACATCTAAACACTCAAAGGGAGAAGTGGAAAAATCACATACATGACTCAAAATCATTTTGAGTGGCTGAAATTGACTATATTGAGAATTATTATTTATTCTGCCCTATTCTCTCTGCAAATGTATACATGACTCAATAGGAAATTGCATTTTTGTGCCAATCAAGAGCTTGCCAATTTCCTTCAGCATCATTTCTCTTTGGAAACCCTCTCAATATTGTTTAGCACAGCAGCTCTCAAATGGTAGCCCCCAGATAAGTAGCACCACAGCACCTGGAAAACAGTGAGAAATACAAAATCATAGTCCTCACAGCTGACTTACTAAATCAAAAACTCTGGTTTGGAGCTAAGCAATCTGTATTTTAGCAGGGCCTCTAGGTGATACTGATACACATAATACTTTGAGAACCACTTTTAAAAAGATTGAATGAAGATTTGGGTTAGGAATTGTGTAAGTCACCAACCCATGAAACATTCTGTGGTGGCGAGCCAGGTTGTAAGAGTGCCCTAGAATAGCAGGCAGTGTCATCGTGGATTATTGTCCAGTGTCCCATGACCTTGGACAAAGCCTAAGTTCTTTATAATCAGTGCCTTAGGAAGCTCACCTTAGTCTTTCCTTAATTTTAAGTGTTGATCTCAATCTGAGAGCCTTGAGCCATGTCTGTCATTTCAACAAAAAGCATGTAGGGTTTAGTTTATTACACCCTCACCAGGTCTATTTTGCATATTTTTGGTCACCTGCCTGTACTCTGTAGTCATACGAAATTGCCTGAAAAATGTTAAATTAATAAAGCATTCAAAATAAAACACATTTTAGTCCTTTTATTATGTTGACAGAAAAAGTCCTGGTGATAAATAATGTCACATATTTAATTCTTAATAAATGAGAGTATCTTAGTGCTAGTGGGTTGGACCCTGAATAATTACTCATCCCTAACTTTCTCCTAAAATTATGTAGAGACAATTATCACTATGTCATTCAAGTAAAGCTATTTATCATTTTGCTCCTTTAGGAATCTGCTCAAGTATCCACTGAAGTAAGTCATTATTTAAATAAAATTAATACCATTAGTAACATTTTTATTTCGTATTTCTCTAATATGTCCTTTGGGTTTCAATAGAACAATGAACTGACTAAGGAAGGAAGGATCTACTTAAAGCACATGGTAAGTTTTTCATACAATGTATTATTTCAAGTAAAAGAATATATTTCACAATTATTTCTTCTTCCAAATGATCACATCATTTCTTCTCAATGAAATATTTAGCACCACATTGAAATATCTAGCACCACACTTATGATAAAATTACTTTTTCCTGTTGTTGTTACTGTGATACATAAATACTATGTTAACAAATATATCTAGAGTTATCTTTTAAGAAAAATGAGCAATCCAACTAAATTTGGAAGAATTACAAACATAATAATAAATTATTAGGCTGGGCATGGTGGTGCATACCTGTAATCTTAGCACTTTAGGAGGCTGAGGAAGGAGGATTGTTTTAGGCCAGGAATTCAAGACCAGCCTAAGCAACATAGCAAGACCTCAACTCTCAAAAAAAAAAAGGAATTAAAGTGATCTAATGGAGACATCACCGTAGTTTAACAAACACAAAATTCATCACTCAGCTCTATGAAGTAGCAACAGGAATTTATAAGCTTTTAACCACTTTCATTCTAAGCCATAGGAAATCACATAACTCATCCTCTGTGGACTAGAGAAATGTGCAGTGCAAGGAAAGAGGATAGGCTTCAGGGTCAAGTGATTTCCCTTCCAACTTCAGCTCTCTAAGTTATTATTTAACCTCTGGACCTTACATTTTTCTCGACTGTAAATGAATTTAGTAATACTAATCCTACAGGTTTTTATGAGGATGATGCTAGATAATATAGGTAAATTATATAATCAATTACTTGAAAAATTTCCAAGATGTGCCAAAAGTAGCAATTATTATTAAATGTATACACAGACAAAAAATCCATTTTAAATCTTGGTCATGTTAAAACAAGATATCTAAAATAAAACTATTTTATTTTTAGAAAATTCTAATTGCCCTGATAATCTTTTTTATACTTTGTCTAAATAAATTTAATTGTATTCTTCCCTTGTTGGTTGTAATCATGTGTCCGTTTAAAACTTAACCCTGAGCAATTCAAAAAACACATGTTTTACATACCTATTTACTTATCATCTGTATGAACTGGAAATTCTCCAAGAGTGAAGATGCCATTTTAAATTATTCCATCTTTAATTTCTACAGGAATTTTTGGTTAAGTATTCACAGCAAAATCAAAGTAGAAACATACTAGAAAATTTTTCAGATGGACATATGTGACAGGTACTATAAAAACCACTCTTCATATTTCAATCCATATAAAACTTCAAGGTATGTGATGCTTATGAGAGGTAAAGCAACCAGTCCAGGGGAAAGGGAATATAAATGAGATGTCCCTACTCCAACTGCAAAGCTTCTTCAACCGGATGTGGAAAAATGAATGAAAAACTAAGACAAATTTCTTGATGAGCCTCCACTTCCCTTCACACACATTCTTTTGCTTTTTACACTCAGTAAAAAGCTTCACTTGAACAGGAATACTAAAATAGCCACATGATTTCTTTTTATTTATTTATTTTATTATTATTATACTTTAAGTTTTAGGGTACATGTGCACAATGTGCAGGTTAGTTACATATGTATGCATGTACCATGCTGGTGTACTGCACCCATTAACTCGTCATTTAGCATTAGGTATATCTCCTAATGCTATCCCTCCCCCCACCCCCCACCCCACAACAGTCCCCAGAGTGTGATGTTCCCCTTCCTGTGTCCATGTGTTCTCATTGTTCAATTCCCACCTATGAGTGAGAACATGCGGTGCTTGGTTTTTTGTCCTTGTGATAGTCTACTGAGAATGATGATTTCCAATTTCATCCATGTCCCTACAAAGGACATGAACTCATCATTTTTTATGGCTGCATAGTATTCCATAGTGTATATGTGCCACATTTTCTTAATCCAGTCTATCATTGTTGGACATTTGGGTTGGTTCCAAGTCTTTGCTATTGTGAATAGTGCTGCAATAAACATACGTGTGCATGTGTCTTTATAGCAGCCTGATTTATAGTCCTTTGGGTATATACCCAGTAATGGGATGGCTGGGTCAAATGGTATTTCTAGTTCTAGATCCCTGAGGAATCGCCACACTGACTTCCACAATGGTTGAACTAGTTTACAGTCCCACCAACAGTGTAAAAGTGTTCTTATTTCTCCACATCCTCTCCAGCACCTGTTGTTTCCTGACTTTTTAATGATTGCCATTCTAACTGGTGTGAGATGGTATCTCATTGTGGTTTTGATTTGCATTTCTCTGATGGCCAGTGATGGTGAGCATTTTTTCATGTGTCTGTTGGCTGCATCAATGTCTTCTTTTGAGAAGTATCTGTTCATGTCCTTCACCCACTTTTTGATGGGGTTGTTTGTTTTTTTCTTGTAAATTTGTTTGAGTTCATTGTAGATTCTGGATATTAGCCCTTTGTCAGATGAGTAGGTTGCGAAAATTTTCTCCCATTCTGCAGGTTGCCTGTTCACTCTGATGGTAGTTTCTTTTGCTATGCAGAAGCTCTTTAGTTTAATTAGATCCCATTTGTCAATTTTGGCTTTTGTTGCCACTGCTTTTGGTGTTTTAGACATGAAGTCCTTACCCATGCCTATGTCCTGAATGGTAATGCCTAGGTTTTCTTCTTGGGTTTTTATGGTTTTAGGTCTAAGATTTAAGTCTTTAATCCATCTTGAATTAATTTTTGTATAAGGTGTAAGGAAGGGATCCAGTTTCAGCTTTCTACATATGGCTAGCCAGTTTTCCCAGCACCATTTATTAAATAGGGAATCCTTTCCCCATTTCTTGTTTTTGTCAGGTTTGTCAAATATCAGATAGTTGTAGACATGCAGCGTTATTTCTGAGGGCTCTGTTCTGTTCCATTGATCTATATCTCTGTTTTGGTACCAGTACCATGCTGAGGTACAGGGTTCATCTCACTAGGGAGTGTCAGATAGTGGGCACAGGACAGTGGGTGCAGTGCAACATGGGTGAGCTGAAGCAGGGCGAGGCATTGCCTCACTCAGGAAGCACAAGGGGTCAGGGAGTTCCCTCTCCTTGTCAAAGAAATGGGTGACAGATGGCACCTGGAAAATCAGGTCACTCCCACCCTAATACTGCGCTTTTCCGATGGGCTTAAAAAACAGCGCACCAGGAGATTATATCCCGCACATGGCTCTGAGGGCCCTACACCCACAGAGTCCCGCTGATTGCTAGCACAGCAGTCTGAGATCGAACTGCAAGGCAGCAGTGAGGCTGGGGAAGGGGCGTCTGCCATTGCCCAGGCTTGCTTAGGTAAACAAAGCAGCTGGGAAGCTCCAACTGTGTGGAGCCCACCACAGCTCAAGGAGGCCTGCCTGCCTCTGTAGGCTCCACCTCTGGGGGCAGGGCACAGACAAACAAAAAGACAGCAGTAACCTCTGCAGACTTAAATGTCTCTGTCTGACAGCTTTGAAGAGAGCAGTGGTTCTACCAGCATGCAACTGGAGATCTGAGAATGGGTGGACTGCCTCCTCAAGTGGGTCCCTGACCCCTGACCACTGAGCAACCTAACTGGGAGGCACTCCCCAGTAGGGTCAGACTGACACCTCACATGGCCGGGTACTCCTCTGAGACAAAACTTTCAGAGGAACGATCAGACAGCAGCATTCGCAGTTTACGAAAATCCGCTGTTCTGCAGACACCGCTGCTGATACCCAGGCAAACAGGGTCTGGAGTGGACCTCTAGCAAACTCCAACAGACCAGCAGCTGAGGGTCCTGTCTGTTAGAAGGAAAACTAACAAACAGAAAGGACATCCACACCAAAAACCCATCTGTACATCACCATCATCAAAGACCAAAAGTAGACAAAACCACAAAGATGGGGGAAAAAAAAGAGCAGAAAAACTGGAAACTCTAAAAAGTAGAGCACCTCTCCTCCTCCAAAGGAACGCAGTTCCTCACCAGCAACGGAACAAAGCTGGACGGAGAATGACTTTGATGAGTTGATTTCTTTAATTCTAAAGTTCACTTTTTGAATGTAAGCACTATGATATTGAATAGTCCAGATATTAAATTCTGTACAAGATTGCCTTTATTCCAAATTATTATTCTTTATGCATCAAATTAGAATTACAGAATTAGAGAAAATAAAAAGTGCAGCAATGACAAGAATAATTTGTGGATGCCGACTACAACTGTAACATTCAAAGTTAGCCAGATTAGATTGGTACAGGACCAGGTTCTAGAAAAAAATGTTCAATACCATTTCTTTTGCTAGCTGTCATTGAATAACAATATTCCTTCAGGAATCATGGTGTCCATTCTCAAATTTGTAAACTGGATAAGAGGAATTTATTATATGTTTTCCAAATAAAGATTCAACTTTATACATTGTTAATTTTCAAATATATTTCTACTAATAGTGCATAACATATGCCTAGAGATACCCTGAATATCACCTAATGATTTGCCTAGTTTTGTTCTTTTGTGAAAAAGTGGTAAACTGCATGGTGGAAAGTAATATCTGAATTGATATATAATTAAGATGTCTTATCTTTTCTTTTTCCTAAGGAATCTACCAGCATCTCCCAAGAAGTAAGTCATAACTACTAAAATTAAATAAAAATTTAAAGTTATCTTTTATTACATAAATTTTAAAAAGTTATTTTTATTTCATAATGGTTATGATATAACTGTGCCAAAATGCTGGGATTACAGGCATAAGCCACCACGCCCAGCCTGAACTTCATTTTTTAATACAGCTCAGTATGAAATCTAGAGCCTGCCAATTGCTTTCACTAAAGTTTTACTCTCTCAATATTATTTAGGAGATAACTAGTATTAGTTAGGAGATAATAAGTATCATCCAGTAGGGTGAACTATATGAGTTATTTGGTGACTGCCACAAGAAACACCTATTGTAATAGAAAGAGCCAGGTAGGTGAGCACAATTGGAAAAGGTCCTGGGGAAGGGGGAAATACGGATTGTGAGCTGGAGTCTTGTGACCTGAGGCACAGTACAAGGTCTTCCTTATCGGTGCCTTAGGAAGCATATTTTATTCTTTCTTTCAATCTCAGTATAAGAACCCATATCACTCTAGAAACGGCATGTGAGCTTTGGTTTACATCACACCTCACCTGGCCTATGTGTTCATTATTTTACCTGACTACTCTCTGTAGTCATTTTTACTGTCTGAACAATGCACCTGGATGAAGACTTTGTAATAACACATATCTTTAGAAATGTGTCATTGTTAACACAGAGTGTGTGCTCTAGTAATGAATGTTTTATTGTAATGATTCTTAATTGATTTCTCTAATCGGTGATTAAGATCACTTCTCATTAACAATGACGTGGCTCTGAATTTTTCTTTTTTTTTAATTATACTTTAAGTTTTAGGGTACATGTGCACAACATGCAGGTTTGTTACATATATATACATGTGCCACGTTGGTGTGTGCTTTAGCACTTTACTATAACTAGTTACATGCAATTACTGGTGTGTCATACAAGTAAAGCTGATTTTTAATTTCTTCCCTTTAGGAATCTGCTGAAGTATTCCCTGAGGTGTGTAATTATCTTTGAAACAAAATACAATTAATATTATCCAGTAGTAATTTCTTTTGTTTTCATAACAGTTGTTTTTGGTTCTAAACAGAAAATTAAGTCAAATGAAGAAAAGAACTACCTGAAACAGCTGGTAGTTATTTCATAAACTTACAGTGCAAATAAAGAAAAAAATATATATATACACACACACATATATATACATGTATATACATATATATATATATAAAATCTCAACTCTTTCTTCCCCTCAACTTTCACATCACTGAATTCCAAATAAATATTTAAAATCAAATTTAAAATCTATAGTAGTTCTGTTATTGTTGTTATCATGGTATGCACCTTTCTTTTCAAATAAATATGAATATATCTTTTAAGAAAAACAATTTTAGTCTATTGTTTTTTGAGCAATTGCAAATCTCAAAAAATAATGTTTATATTTTAAATGATTTAATCAAGGTACTAGTATAGCACAACTGTATTCCAACTTCTCTTTGACAGTATGTTATGACCTGATTTCTCAAAATAAAAAACTATTAGTGATTATTTTCAAGCCGTAGTTCTTGTAGCCAATCAGTGTGGTCAAGAGGCTTATGTATCTCAGTGAAAGGACATGGGCTTTGGAGTCAGGCAGTTTATTTTCCAACTGCAGCTCCACCCTTTTTTATGGCTGTGACATTTTTTAAGTACTTTGTCCCTCTCAATTACAGTGTCTTCAATAAAACAGTGAACATGTAAATATACTTCTGACTTTAATTTTTTTGGAAAGGATCATTTCAGGTAATACATGTAAACTGTATAATACAATAAATGTACTACAGCAGTAATATTAATATTATGGTCATCATCCTCCTAGACACAAATTTCTTGTAAAATTTTTGTAACAGGAGTACTATTTGCTTCAATGTTCTCAAATTAATTCTCCCAACTGAAAACCTATCTGGTTTCATAAGTTCTAGTTGCTATGAAAATCTTTATACTTTGTCAAAATGATCCCAAAAGAATTCTACCATTGTATCAGTTGTATATCATAGTCATGGATCCAGTCAACACTTACTGTATGTTCATAAAAACTGGAAATTATCTTGTGTAAAGTTGCCATTTTAATTTCATCTTTATTACCTACAATAATTTATAATAAGGTTTATGAAGAATGCTTAAAGAAAGAAGTTGGATGTAGGGAGCATCCATTGTACATAAAAGAAGTGATCAGCACTAATCAGAATGCTCTCTATATATTAACTTAAATAATTCTGCAATGCAAATGATGCTCAGAGAGCTTAAGCAACAAGACCGCTATCATAGATTCCAGTGAGTAAAATCACAAAAAATTATGCTGAGCCTCTCTGACTCTAAGGATTATATACAGAACAATAAATAATAAACTGAGACACATATCTGTAATTCAAATAATTTTCCTCTTGGCTTCTTACATATAAATTTATTTTTTTCTCTTAGACATCTTTGTGTGAGTGTCAGAATTAGAGACTCTCTTTAATTCTGAAGAATTCTGAAGTTTACTCCATAACATATAAATATTTACAGTGATTTTTACATAAGTAAACTCTCCTTTTGCTGGTTCTACCTGGAATAATTTAGCAGTTATGTAAATAGGCAAAGTTTTAATTCATTTGCTTCTATGTAGCTCTCTTTTGAACTCTGGGAGAGATTAAATATGGGATAATTATTAATAATTTTATTTCTTTCTAGACGAAAACCAACCAGTTTCTCCAGAAGTTCACTGTCCCCCAGTATGTCCAGGCTGTTCCCCTTGTAGTCTATGAGCCTGTGGAATCACATTCAGGAAAACACCTACCCATATATTCCCATTTAGGTATGTTTGCCCTTTTAAAAATATATATAATTATTGTGTTTTGTGAAAAATGAGATAAAAAGAAATGAAATTAAAAAAAGAATCTAAGTTATCACGTAGAAGTTAAATCAAATTTAAATCAAAATGTTAAGGCCAGTAATGAAATAAAAATCATACGGTTCAAATACAACTGCAATCATAATGCTAGGGAAAAAGAATTGCATTATATTAGATTTTAATTTTCTAAACATTTGTGTATATATTCTCTTGATTTTTACAGTAATCCATTGAAGTAGAGAGATAGAAATAATATTAATTTTACAACAGATTCTGAAATTAAAAGAAGTGGATTCAATTTTCCAAGCTATATTTAATAGTTTACCTTCATTTAATAAGTCTTTTGGCTTAGGATGCCTTTTCTTTAACATAAGAAGTAAATGGTAGAGCAGGAAATTGAATCTAAAAAGCTGAAATTGGCTGGGCGCGATAGCTCGCCTGTAATCCCAGCACTTTGGGAGGCCGAGGCAGGCAGATCACCAGAGATCAGGAGTTCAAGACCAGCCTGGCCAACATGGTGAAACCCCATCTCTACTAAAAGTACAAAATTTAGCTGGTCATGGTGGCGGGCGCCTGTAATCCCAGCTACTAAGGCAGCTGAGGCAGGAGAATCGCTTGAACCCCGGAGGTGGAGTTTGCAGTGAGCCAAGATCGCGCCCTTGCACTCCAGCCAGGACAACAACAGTGAAACTCCGTCTCAGAAAAAAAAAAAAAAAAAAAAAGAAAAGAAAAGAAAAGAAAAGAAAACAAAAAAGAAAGCTGAAAATTTAGCATAAATATTAATAATTTAGCATCAGAAATCCTAGGACTGGGTCTGAGTCTGATAATTCTCTGAATTCTATTTTCTATTTTTATTTTGAGATGTGACTGAATTTCTTAGATAGGCATGTAACATTTGGAGGACTTTATCATTATCATTATAGAAAATAAGACTTCTATAATTTAGGTTTGAATGTTAGATGTCTAAAATTGTTTCTAAATATTTCAAGTGAGATATAAATAGCCTTTGTACATTAAAATGCATTATTCTTTTTCTTTTAAGAAGAACATGTAAGATTCTTGAATTAACTGCTGCAATTTGAGCTTGAGTAAGTACCTTTAAGACTAGTCATTGAACAAAAATTTAAGTAGGATCTTCACTTAAGAATACAACATCAAAGCAATAATTTAAATACTTCAGATAAATTCTCTTTAAATCAGAGATTGGCTTATAAAATACTTTAACTTTTGCTATACACTTTTTGATTCACAAAGAAGAGTTATCTGTGTAACTTGCAGGCATATGGTTTTTTGCAAATTTTAAAAAATAAACTATAGAAAATTTCCTCTGTGAACTGGATGCATTTAACCAGAAGTAATGACTCTTAGAAGAAATCTTCACAAAGACAAGTGGCTACACTGGTTTACTTTAAAGTTTGCCTTTTGATTTTCACTCAACATTTCTGCTTGGAGAAATATATATATATATTTTTAGTAGATTTTTTTAAATTTTACAATTTGAGCTACTTTATACAAATTTTTTCTGCAGCAATTTCTCTGGGAAAACTCATATAGATATAGATATAGATAAATATATAAAGCCTACTTTCCTACTTGCCATCACTGTCATTCCCCTTGAGGTTCCGATCTAGATTGCATTTGCCTCCACAGTATATTTAGAATCTGACAGGTCCTAATGTAAATTATGAGTTAATAGGTGCAGCACACCAACATGGCACATGTATACATATGTAACAAACCTGCGCATTGTGCACATGTACCCTAGAACTTAAAGTATAGTAAAAAAAAAAAAAAAAAAAAAAAGTCTGACAGAGCGTCAAGTCAATGGTGACTTATAGTCGTGGTTCACTTTATCTGGTCTCCTTTTTTCCTTATGTTTTCATTATAATTATTAGAGGTTTCTCCATTCTGAAATTTAGTCGCCCTCAGTTTATCTCCATTGTTCTATCTACATCTCCTAAACTTAAATGGTTGGTCAAAACCTATATGCATAGATGTGTATAATAATAAGTATACATCATCGTGACAGAGGGTGCAACAGCAAATCTGATAATAATAGCTGACGTTTTTTGAGTGCTTCGAGTGCGCCCACCACAGTTCTAAACTTTTTTCCAGTATTAACTAGTTTCATGGTCACATAACACTGTGAAGTGGTTATCATTATTAACTAATGTATAAAAGAGACAAGCAATGCACAAAAAAGTTACATAAATTGCCCATGATCATATTGTATGTGATAAGTGAAAGAGCCAAGATTCCAACCTAGTGTCTGGCCCTAGATTGCTTCCTCTGAAAGACTCAACTACTGAGGCAACCCCGTATCCATGTCAGGAGTTCAAGAATAATGTGAAAGGGCATTGGTCTCACAGCTTGATTCTATTTTTGTTTGGTTTTCCTGACAATGGAAAGAGATCAAGCAACTCTTCCAAATAACCTTATATGAGAAAAAATAACACCATAATTGTTATGGATGAGAGCTGAGGTTGTAGTTGTATTTTCTGAATAGTGATATCCCCTTTGATGTCATTCATTCTGTATTTTGAAATTGCTTATCATGAGTCCCACAATATGAGAAACTTGGTAAAAAAAAAAAATGAGATACTGACAACCTTCCTTAACCTCAGTTCTAGAAGGGTAAATAGGTTTACAAAGAAGTTTACTAAGTGCAAAATTAGAATTGTGAGCATGATACTGTGATAGAATAAAAAAATCAATTGGATCAGATTAAGACCTGAACCTTTAGGTAAACCAGAAATAAACAAAGCAAGGCAATGCCAGAAGAATATTATAAGGCAGAACTTAATTAAATCTACAGAATGTTTACAACATAAAACTATTAATAAAAAGATTTCTAATAAAATAGATTACGAAGACTTTACTTTTCAAAGGTTTTTAAAATTTTTTCCAAAAGGACATTTTCCCAGTGTAATTATTTGACAAATCTATAATCCAAATACATCAAGAAATACTCAATGTAGGAAGTAATATTATATTTTATGTCTAGTAAACTATTTGGAAATTAAGAAAATGTTTCTTCAAAATTGGATGAGAGATGTAAATATTTCTTATTTAATGGGAGCATTAAATAGAATCTTTATTTGCATAACACAGTGAAGAGTTTGACTATTAACTGTCAATCATTTAGTCATTTATAAAATAAATATTAGTAGCCTACTGTTTTAGCACTAGAAAATATCAATTAGTAATAACTATAATTATATTATATTACACTATCTTGCATGTTTGAATGTTTATATGTATTTTGTGCACAAGTATTTTACATATTATATGTAGTATGTGTTTCCTGGAATATAAATTTTATAGATAATCCAATATTTTTTCTTTATTCATAGGTATGACTAGAAAAATCATTCCTTTATAATTTCTTCATCTACCACATCACCTCCTACTAGCAATATATTTTGGCATGCTTCTTGAAATGTCAACAGTATTGAGCCAAAAGAAGACTGTGTGGAACATTTTCCATATTGGTTATGATATTTTTAATTTGTGTTGGATATGCCAGATCTGAATTGTGGTATCATATTTACTGTATTGATGATTAAATGAGGTCTTTTCTCCACTATCTCTGAAATATAGAACTGTATATCAGTTGCCAAAACATTAAAATTTCAAACAAAGTTGTAGCTAGTGTTTTGGGGTTTTTTTTTTCCATTCCTCATACTTAGAGAGACCAGACCACTATTACTAGAATAAATCAGCTTGAACATCACTGAAATAACTTTATATACATTTGAGGCCCTTAATTTCAAGGTTGACTCTCATATCACATGTATTTGAATGTTACATACTTATGGGTCTCCACAACAACTGTATCCTAAGCACTTACTGGCCCTCATTCTAACATCTCTCTAGTTTGTCCCTGCTTCCATCTATCTATCCCATACAACTTTCTCCAGAGTTCTCAAGTCTCCAGTCTGTGCCTGGCCAGTTAATAATCTGCAATATCATTCCATAAAAAGTGGTTTAATCACTAACAAAGTACAGCTTTGAAGGCCTTCCCTCAGGGTTTAGACTTCTTTCAACAAACATTGAGTACCTATGATACGCCAGGCATTTTTCAATATGTTGTTTTATAGCTGAAAACAAAAACAATATCTTGGCTTTATGGCCAAGATTACATTTTAATCATTGGAGAAAGACAACAAACAAGAAAAGAAGCAAGACAGGGTATGCCGTGTGGTGATAACATGGCATGTGTTATCGCCATGTGGTGATAACCTAAAGAAAAATAAAGTAGAGCAATGGGAGTGTATTTTACATAGGGGTGGTCAAGGAAGGCAATTTGGGCAAGTCAAAGTTTGAGCAGTGAAATGAAATTAGTGTGAGAAGGAGCTGGAGAAGTACCGTTCCAACAAAAGAAAAGTAAAAGAAAATTCACTGAAGTGGGTGAAGGTGGGAGGAGTGAAGATTATCTTGGTCTTTCAATTTGCCTTAAGCAATTGGTTTGAGCTGGTAGCTGAGAGTCATTTGCAGGTGAGCATCATTATATAGCATATTTTTTGAAAAGATGAATAGGGTAAAAGATAGGGGAATATGTATCGGACTTCAAAGAATCCTCCAATTCCTTAAGGTTTCCCTCATTGGATTCAATTATTTCTTTTTTATTATTATTATTATACTTTGAGTTCTGGGATACATATGCAGAACGTGCAGGTTTGTTACATAGGTATACACGTGCCATGGTGGTTTGCTGCACCCATCAACCCGTCATCTATATTATGTATTTCTCCTAATGCTATCCCTCCCCTAGCCCCCTACCCGCAACGGGCCCCGGTGTGTGATATTCCCTTCCGTGTGTCCATGTGTTCTCATTATTCAACTCCCACTTATGAGTGAGAACATGCAGTGTTTGGTTTTCTGTTCCTGTGTTAGTTTGCTGAGAATTACAGTTTCCAGCTTTATCCATGTCCCTTCAAAGGACATGAACTCATCCATTTTATGGTTGCATAGTATTCCATGGCTTATATGTGTCACATTTTCTTTATCCAGTCTATCGTTGGTGGGCATTCGGGTTGGTTCCAAGTCTTTGCTATTGTGAATACTGCTGCAATAAACATACGTGTGCGTGTGCCTTTATAGTAGAATGATTTATAATCCTTCGGATATATACCCAGTAATGGGATTGCTGGGTCAATTGGTATTTCTGGTTCTAGATCCTTGAGGAATTGCCACACTGTTTTCCACAATGGTTGAACTAATTTACATTCCCACCAACCGTGTAAAAGCGTTCCTATTTCTCCACATCCTCTCCAGGATCTGTTGTTTCTTGACTTTTTAATAAATGCTGTTGGGAGAACTGGCTAGCCATATGCAGAAAACTGAAACTGGACCCGTTCCTTGCACCTTATACAAAAATTAACTCAAGATGGATTAGAGACTTAAACATAAGACCTAAAATCATAAAAACCCTACAAGAAAACCTAGGAAATATCATTCAGGACATAGGAAAGGGCAACGACTCATGAAGAAAATGTCAAAAGCAATGGCAACAAAAGCCAAAACTGACAAATGGAATCTAATTAAACTAAAGAGCTTATGCACAACTAAAGAAACTATCATCAGAGTGAAGAGACAACCTACAGAATGGGAGAACATTTTTGCAATTTATACATCTAACAAAGGGCTAATATCCAGAATCTACAAGGAACTTAAACACGTTTACAAGAAAAAAACAAACAACCCCATCAAAAAGTGGGTGAAGGATATGAACAGACACTTCTCAAAAGAAGACATTTATGCAGCCAACAAACGTGAAAAAATGTTCATCATCACTGGTCATTGGAGAAATGCAAATCAAAACCCCAATGTATATTGACAATATACATTTTTTTCCTGTCATCTTGTCAATTTGAGAATTTTAATGATTACCTACAGCCTGATAATGCTCCAAACTTTAGATGAAGTTTTAATTGTTCTGCTCTCAATTTGGGCTAATATACCCAATTATCTTCTGGGAATGACTAATTTTGTATTTCCCAAATTGAAATATAATCACTTCAAGTATTTTTTTCACTTGAATCTCTTTTACACAGAATGCACCCATGTGAACTCACATTTCATTCTAAATTTGCAGTTCTATATTTTTATTATAATAAAATGAAACATGATTATATTTTTAACTCAGATTCTTTTGCAGATAATGAAATAGACTTCTAGGATTTGGACTCTCTTCTAGGACTCTCTAAACTCTAACTTTTCTCATTAGTGTAAGTTGGAAGTGTGATATTTCTTTCCACTAATTAGAATAGTTTTAAGAAATTAAAACAACCAAAGGTACCATTAACACCTTGGCAGGTATTGCATCTTTATGTCACCATTCTTATAAAGCTGCAATAGCTCTTTGTTGAGTATTTGTTCTCTAAGTAAAATGCTTTTTTTACTTTTCAAGAAGTGGAATTCTATCACGGAGAAAAATGTACCTTTTATTTCCTTTACTGCATAATAGCAGGACATGTTATTTCCCAGCAGTGTTCTAAAACTATCTGTTATGGAATATGAGATTGTAAAAAAAAAACACAAAAATGCAACCTTTGTTTTTAATTTCTGTCCTTGTTTCTGGTTATCAAGCATAATCCTCACACTTCCTGAAGTGTTTAATTTTAAGGGAGAAATTAATAATGCCTCTATTTTAATGTTACAAACCAAAATAAGAATCTAGTTTATTTATTTTTTCTTGAAACATAATTGATGTGCATATTTGGGGGGTACATGTGATAATTTGACACACTCATATAATCAAATCAGGGTAATTAGAATAACTGTTGCCTTAGATGTTGGTCTTTCCTTTATCCTAGAAACATTTAAATTAGTTTCTTCTAACTATTTTTGAATATACAATCTATTATTGTAAACTATAGTCACCCTGCTTATCTGTCAACACAAGGTCTTATTTCTTCTATCAAATTACATATTATATATATAATCAAGATCTCTTCATCTTCCTCTCCTGTGTCCCCTTCCTGATCTCTGGGAACCACCAATCTATTCTCTATCTTTATGAGATCCACTTTTCTAGCTCCCATGTATAAGTGAGAACATGCAATATTTGTCTTTCTGTGTTTGGCTTATTTCACTTAACATAATAACCTACGGCTTCATCTATCTTGCTACAAATGACAGGATTTCACTCTTTTTTATGGTTGAATAATAGAATCATTATATTTCAAAATGGGTTTATACTTCTTAGTTTATAGAACAGTAGTTAGCTTAAAGGTTCGAATTCCAAACGCTTGAAAGTATTTACATTTTTATATTAATTTCTTTCTTTCTTTTTTTTTTTTTTTTTTTGAGACGAAGTCTCGCTCTGTCGCCCAGGCTGGAGTGCAGTGGCGCGATCTCAGCTCACTGTAAGCTTCGCATCCCGGGTTCACTCCATTCTCCTGCCTCAGCCTCCCAAGTAGCTGGGACTACAGGTGCCCGCCACCACACCCGGCTAATTTTTTATGCTTTAGTAGAGACAGGGTTTCAGCGTGTTAGCCAGGATGGTCTCGATCTCCAGACCTCATGATCCACCTGCCTCGGCCTCCCAAAGTGCTAGGATTACAGGCATGAGCCACTGCGCCCGGCCTTATATTACTTTCTATCCAAAGAGTCAATCACATTGCCCATATAATCCCAGTGCCCTGTATAGTGAGTGCTTAATAACAATTGTTTGAATGAATAAGTGAATAAAGAAATAAAGTAACCAGAAATGGAAGGAAAAAAAAGAGGGAGGCTGGGCACAGTGGCTAAAGCCTGTAATCTCAGCACTTTGGGAGGCCAAGGCAGGCAAATCATTTGAGGTCAGGAGTTCAAGGCCAGCCTGGCCAACATGGTGAAACCCTGTCTCTACTAAAAATAAAAATTAAAAAAAGTATCCAGGTGTAATGGCAGGCGCCTGTAATCCCAGCTTCTTGGGAGGTTGAGGTAAGAGGATCCCTTGAACCCAGGAGGCGGAGGTTGCAGTGAACTGAGATCGCGTCACTGCACTCCAGCCTGGGTGACAGAGTAAGGCCCTGTCTCAAAAAAAAATAAAAAATAAAATTAAAAATAAAAACAAGAGAAAAAGAAAAAGAAAAGAAAAGGAAAGAAAGAAAAGAAGAAAAGAAAAGAAAAGAAAAAGACAATGTAGTCAAACAGCCAAACAATCCATTTCAAAAATTACTATTAGAAGATGAATTTTTTTTTATTTTCCCAATAGTTATAATCGAGACTATGTCTTTGGGGGAAGAGCCTACATAGCTACAATACTTAAAAGTCTCTTGCATAAATTATTATATTGAATTATTGTTACCAACTTTAAACATATACATTCTTTTATCTAGAAAGGTGAAAAAGGAGACAATTTCTAATGGGCCTCTTTTAATATCCTTTAGAAATATTTCCTCAAAACACATGATACAAAATCAAACTTCAAGTTTAAGTTTGAGCTCAAACCTATAGACAAGTGGTATATTATTTAGCTTAATGTCTGTGGCCTAAACAAAACTAGGAAAAACATCCTAATATTCTGTTCTGACTACACTCAATTATCCAACTAGAAGGATGTAAATTATGTGTATCCATTTTCCTAGAGATTCAGTGGAAAACACACATTTTTCTAACACATGTAAATATGCCACTGCATAACCTCACTTGAAGGATGTTAAACCCTCTAAGGCCCAAAACAAGTAGATTTAATTCCATGTGGTAGAGTTCAACTTGCTAAGTGAGATATATTAAAGTTCTGACTTCAAGGACATATATTTTTTTGAGGACAAATTTATTAATTCAAACCCTAGAAGAGACTGAATTTTGCTCAGAGCTGTGTCTATTATCCCTATGTATGAGAAAATGGTAAACAAAGTTTTAGGTCTTCTTTTTGGTACAAGAATGTCCATCTCAGACATGAGGTTTTTGAGATACAATAGTTAATATTCTACAGACACACATATGACATTCGAATTCATTTCTACAGTTAACTTATTCTAATAACTTTTTCTTTATTGCTGTATTCATATGTACCTAGACTAATATTGGCATTAAGCAACTGACAGTTTTATTAATAACCTGACTTATTTGTTTCACAATCTTCTATTGTAATAACCTTGTTATTTTACTTCCTAGCATCTGATGGGACTATCCTTCACTTGCATAATTTGATCTCACAATTGACATGATTCATTGCATCAAGATAATGACTTTAGTGAATTTAAATATCAAGTTAGTACAAAAGTAATTGCGGGCGTTGACATTGATTTCAAGGGCAAACTCCGCAATTACTTTTGTACCAACCTGATATATCAACTCACCTGACATGCACATTATTTCGTAGGTCTTCAGGACAGTTCCTCTGAATCTTGAGACCTCATTTTGATCACAAGACAATACATTCATGCATGTATTGTCAACATGGTGTCTATTTTCAAATGTCTGTGGACTGTTACTGTCCGAATAAACTATGACAAAATCAAAGCATACTTATTTAATAATAAATACCCAAAAAAACTATTTGAAAAAATGATGACCTTATAGATAAGAAAATATGTATAAGAATATTATAATAAAATGAGACATGATTATATTTTTAACTCAGACTCTTTTGCAGATAATGAAATAGACTTCCAGGATTTGGACTCTCTTCTAGGACTCTCTAAACTCTAACTATTCTCATTAGTGTAAGTTGGAAGTGTGACATTTGTTTCCACTAATTAGAATAGTTAAAAAAAATTAAAACTACCAAAGGTACCATGAACACCTCTGCAGGTATATAAGAATATAAAGTCATCATATATATGTAAAGTCATCTTTACATATATATATCTTTATATATAGCAATAGAAAGGTTTGCTTGTGATCTAGGTATGTGTTAGTCAACATTAACATTATTATATAAACTACAGAAACAATGAAGAAATTGATGCCTCTATTGCTGTGATATAACATAAACTTTTTATAACATAAATGTGTGTTAAATAATGTTATTATTTATTGTTAACAAGATGAAATTCAAAATTTATATACAAATGATCTCCTAGTCAGCAGGAATGTATTTTTTTTGCAAGTTTACTTATTGCTTCAAAGTTTAACATAGCATTTCAAAACTACTTTATTTCCATATCTAAAATATTTTCTTCTTTTTTCTCATCACTTTCTGCATTGAAGTCAGTTTTGCTTATTCTGCATATTGAATACCATGTGCCAATTAAATTAGTTTTATTTAACATGTGAATTAGATATAAAGGATGAACCACTACCTTTTTTAAACATTTACGATTGTCACCTTTGGAAAAATATATTACAAGTTCTACTTTAAATATTTAATGATTACAATTTTTTAGGACAAGAATTTTTTCTCGATTTTCAAGTTTAAAATGTTTCTAGTATACTGTTTTTATTGACAAAAAATACATATTAAACTCATTGATAAATTTCTTTACATTTTTCTGAAAAAAAAATGTGACAATCTTGTCACTTCTGTGACAATATTCCCATCAAAATATATTTTAATTTGGATAGTATTAGAACTCAGAAAAAAGCAGTATATATATATATATATATATATATATATATATATATATATATATATATATCATACTACAGAAATATGAAAATATATCAAAGAGTTCCAAATTGCACAAATTTGTTTTACTAAAATATTTTGAAGTATTACCTAATATTCAACAATACAACAATACAATCTTTACAGTACATGAAAATTCTATTTCTATAATTTCATCTATTAACTGTTATCTTGTTTCTTCTATCTTGTGAAACATTTTTTCAATCTTTTCCTTACTTATCATTCTAATACATTGTCTGTGAACAAGCTCTCATAATCTCCTACCAGTCTATTCCCAAACTAAATGGTAATCCTATTATCTTCTTTTATTTTCTGTAATCTTTTTCTACATTGTGGCCACAGAGATCTTTATTTTTAGAAATTTCATTTGCACTTTTCTGAAAAGAATATTGTTCTTATATCTCAGTGATGGCAAATATGACCACTTTTTAAAATGTTTATTTCCATAGGTTTTCAGAGAACACGAGGTATTTGGTTACATGAGTAATTTATTTACTGGTGATTTGTGAGATTTTGGTGTACCCATCACTCGAGCAGTATACACTGAACCCAATTTATAGTCTTTTGTCCATCACCATCTTTCCATCTTTTCCCCCAGTCCACAAAGTCCATGTGTCATTCTTATGCCTTTGCATCCTCATAGCTTAGTTCCCACTTATAAGTGAGAATATACGATGTTTGGTTTTCCATTCCTGAGTTATTTACTTAGAATAATAGTCTCCGATCTCATCCAGGTCACTGTGAACACCATTAATTCATTCCTTTTTATGGCTGAGTAGTATTCCAGTGTGTGTGTATATATATATATACACATACACAATAGAATATATATCAATATATAGAGATATAGATATAGATATAGATAGATATAGATATAGATACACACATACACACACACACCAGTTTCTTTATCCACTCCTTGATTGATGGACATTTGGGTTTGTTCCACATTTTTGCATTTGCGAATTGTCCTGCTATAAACATGCGTGTGCAAGTACGTTTTTGTATAATGACTTATTTTCCTCTAGGTAGATACCCAGTAGTGGGATTGCTGGATTGAATGGTAGTTCTATTTTTAGTTCTTTATGAAATCTCCGGCCTGGCGCAGTGGCTCATGCCTGTAATCTCAGCACTTTGGGAGGCCGAGGCGGGCAGATTATGAGGTCAGGAGATCAAGCCCATCCTGGCTAATATGGTGAAACCCCATCTCTACTAAAAGTACAAAAAATTAGCTGGGCGTGGTGGCGGGTGCCTGTAGTCCCAGCTACTCGGGAGGCTGAAGTGGGAGAATAGCGTGAACCCGGGAGGCGGAGCTTGCAGTGAGCCAAGATCACGCCACTGCACTCCAGCCTGGGCGACAGAGCGAGACTCCATCTCAAAAATAAATAAATAAATAAAAGAAAAAAAGAAAGAAATCTCCACACTGTTTCTCATAGTGGTTGTACTAGTTTACATTCCCGCCAACAGTGTAGAAGTGTTCCCTGTTCACTGCATCCATGCCAACATCTATTATTTTTGGATTTTTTTATTATGGCCATTCTTGCAGGAGTAAGGTGATATCACATTGCAGTTTTGATTTGCATTTCCCTGACCATTAGTAATGTTGAGGACTTTTTCCTACGTTTGTTGGCCATTTGTGTATTTTCTTTTGAGAATTGTCTATTCATGTCCTTAGCCTTTTTTTAAAAAATTTATTATTATTATACTTTAAGTTTTAGGGTACATGTGCACAATGTGCAGGTTTGTTACATATGTATACATGTGCCATGTTGGTTTGCTGCACCCATTAACTCGTCATTTAGCTTTAGGTATATCTCCTAAGGCTATCCCTCCCCCCTCCCCCCACCCCACAACAGTCCCGGAAGTGTGATGTTCCCCTTCCTGTGTCCATGTGTTCTCATTGTTCAATTCCCACCTATGAGTGAGAACATGCGGTGTTCATGTCCTTTGTAGGGACATGGATGAGACTGGAAACCATCATTCTCAGCAAACTATCACAAGGACAAAAGCCTACTTTTTGATGGGATTGTTTTTTGTTTTTTTTTTTTCTTTCTGGTTTGTTTGAGTTCGTTGTAGATTCTGGATATTAGTGCTTTGTGCTTTGTCAGATGTATGGATTGTGAAGATTTTCTCCTACTATATGGGATGTCTGTTTACTCTGCTGAATCTTCCTTTTGCGGTGCAAAAGCTCTTTAGTTTAATTAATTCCCGCCTATTTATCTTTGTTTTTATTGCATTTGCTTTTGGGTTATTGGTCATAAATGGTTTGCCTAAGCCATTATCTAGAAGGGTTTTTCCAATGTCATCTTCTAGAATTTTTATAGTTTCACGTCTTAGATGTAAGTACATCTAAAGTTGATTTTTTTTTATAAGATGAGAGATGAGGATCCAGTTTCATTCTCCTACATGTGCCACAGAGATCTTTCAAAAAATCTTATTTTAAAATTATATATGTTGTCTAAAACTCATCTAAGACTCTCCTTGTCTTCTGTAATGAGGGCTTAATTTTTTTTAACTTGTGTGTATTTTATAATCAGAGGGTACATGTGCAGGTTTGTTACAAAGCTATATTGCATGATGCTGAAGTTTAGAGTACAAATGAATTCATCACCCAGGTAGTGAGCATAGTATCCAATAAAAAGCTTTTCAGTCCTTGCACCCCCCCCATCTTCTATTCTCTAGTGTCTGTTGTTCCCATTTTTGTGTCCATGTGTAACTAATGTTTAGCTCCCATTTGTAAGTGAGAATTTGTGATATTTGTTTTTCTGTTTCTGTGTTAATTTGCTTAGGATAATGGATTTCAGCTTCATCCATGTTGCTACAAAGAACATGATTTTATTCTTTTTTATGGCTGCATAGTATTTCATTTTATATATACAAATTTATATTTTCATGTTTTATATCTTTGCTATTGTGAATAGTACTGTGATGAACATACAGGTGCATGTGTCTTTTTGTAGAATGATTTATTTTCTTTTTGGCATATACCCAGTAATGGGATTGCTGGGTCCAATGGTAGTTCAACTCTTAGTTCCTTGAGAAGTCGCCAAAATGTTCTCCGTAGTGATTGAACTAATTTACATTCCCACCACCAGCAGTGTATGTGTCTCCTTTTCTCCACAGCCTCACCAACATCTGGTATTTTTTTACTTCTTAGTAAAAGTCACTCTACCTAGTATGGGATGGTTTCTCGTTGTTTTGGTCTACATTTCTCTGATTATTAGGGATGATGAGCATTTTGTCGTATGTTTGTTGGCTGCTTGTATCAGCCTTGGCAAAGAATTTGTGGCTAAGTCCTCAAAATCAATTGCAACAAGATAAAAATTAACAAGTGAGACCTAATTAAACTAAAGAGAATCTGTACAGCAAGAGAAACTATAAAGGGAGTAAACAGACAACCTACAGAATGGGAGAAAATATTTACAAACTATGCATCCAATAAAGGAATAATATCTAGAACCTATGACGAACTTTAAAAAAATCAACAAACAAAAAACAAATAACCCCATCAAAAATCGGTTAGAGCACATGAACAGACACTTCTCAAAAGAAGTTCTTAAATCTTTAGCATCACACAGAAAGCTCTGAAGAGTCTATCCTGTTGACCCCTGTACTCCCAGCTCTTGACTTCTTTACTGGCATCGATTCCTATGGCACACTGAGCTTTGCACCCTTTCAAAATCTTAGGTTTCTTTATTATTTTTGGGGCTTCCAAGCCCCCAACAGCTTTCTTTTCTCTACTCCCTTATCTCTGTAACTCTACTGAAGCTGTAGGATCCAATTTAATATATATCCCTTTCTTTAAAAAAATATTGGTTTTGGTTGCAAATTGACAAATTTGACAAATTCTATATATTTATGGGGTACAAAGTGATGTTATAATTTATAAATAAAATGTGTAATAATTAATGAAGCTCATTAACATATACATGACCTCAAATACCATCTTTTGAGATGAGAATTTTGAAATTTATTTTGAAATGTACAGTAAATTATTTATTGTAGTAGTAATTGTATCTAACTAGTTATAGCAGAGAGCTAAAGCTGATTGAAAACTTCAGAGCCAAGCCATTGTTAACGAAGTGATCTTAATCACTGATTAGAGAAATCAATTAAGAATCATTACACTAAAACGTTCATTATTAGAGCACAAACTCTGTGTTAACAATGATAACAATGACACACTACTAAAGATATGTGTTACTATAATTCCCCTCTTTTCTCAGGCTAAGTAATTTTTGGTTATTACAGTATTTTATAAGTATCTCTATAAGAGCACTTTTGGGATGTATTCATTTGTATCAACTCTATTGGACAATAATCTTTTTGAAGTCAGAGAAATAGCCTTTTTTCTTTGAGAATCTAGTACATAACACAGGGCTTTAGTACATAGGATAGTCATCATGTTTGACAAATAAATGAAATAAAGAGTTACTGTTTCATCATATATTCTTTATCAGGACTCAAACAATTTCTAATCTTTATCTTTATTATTGCCCTGTTGTTGCAATGTCTGTAAGTATATGAAAAAACTGAAAAAATAAATTCTTACTGGTTTCCTGAATAGTCTCTAATACTTTATGTGCTCTGAATGTTAATAGATTTGCATTTATCTATACAATGTGTGTTAAATTATACTACTTTTATGTAAATATTTTCTTCAAATTATATTACAAAATGTTCATAAGGCAATAGGATTTCACCTATATCTACTCATCTATAATAATTTTTGAAGTTTTATTACATTAATTGAACATATAAAAATGATGCCATGTCAGTTTCCTATTATGGAAATATGTGGAAGAAAAACATTAGAAATAACTTGTTATAGAAATAACTCCAACATGGTATTATAAGTTTCCATCTGAAAGCTGCTAGAACAAAAACTCCTAAGTCTTTTGTGTATTTTAAATACATGAAAACTATATGCACTTTAGTCATTCATAATATAGATTTAGTGCAGGGACCAATGCTGATTCTGAAAATAAGGTCAATAGCAAGAGAAGAGGGTATGTTTAGAAAATATAACTTTCATGTATTTATAATACATGACAGGTTTTTAACCAATTAAGCAGGATTTTTAGATATTAAATTTTTATTACAAGAGGATATAACTGAATAGATAGAACTCGAAAACATCAAAACATAAAGTTATTCAGAAAAGTTTAACACATAGTTTACTTTCAATAGCAAAAACTGCAATTGCTTTTGCACCAACCTAATCATACATATAACAATTTCCATTTGTTCGTGGCTTGATTGGAAATTTGACGTGGTCTATATTCACAACAATTCTTTCTGTTCAGAAATCCTTCTGTGCATTTAGCAACATGTATTATCATACACTTCTTCCAAGTTATTTTGAAAAGTATCATTCTATCTCAGTAATTTTGAAAATAGTGTATGGCTTGCATTATTCTAGGTGTTATATTGACATTAAAAACAAATTGACCTTTGAACATTTGCTCTGCATTCAAATTCCAGTCTAATTCATTGAGCTGCATTAACAGCATAAATTTAAAATCATTTATAATATTTGAAGATACATATGATGGTATGTGTTGGACTATTTAATTTTCTTTGAAATTTTGTTCTATCTTAATAATCATAAAGAATCAACTTTTCTTGGGTAATAGACGGGATGGTCTATCTCTATTTCAATTCTCCTGCAAAATGTTTTTCTTCAACAGTAAGATGCCAGCACATCAATCTGTACAGCAGTATTTCTAAAGAAGGACCATGCCAGGTCATTTCATAATCTTTTCAGTCAATGTTTACTGAGGAAGGAGAGACATGCAAATTTTGGGTAGTCAATGTTTACTGAGGAAGGAGAGACATGCAAATTTTGGGTAGTTAATCAATGCACACATACGCACAAAAATCATCACAATTTTTTCAACTTTGAAATTATTTTTAATCAAATAAATGCTGATGTCTGAAGCCTGCAAGCAAACCCTGAAATTCCAAATAAAATCTTATCTTTTGTTTTAGCTTTATTCACGATGGACACTAATTCTCTCATATATTGTATTTGAAAAGAAAAACTTCAATTATATAATGGCTATGTATATTTGTAAATAAAATTTCCATAGATTATATCACATTACAATGATAATGGCAGAGAAAAATATTAACTAGAAGTCAGAGAGCCAGCTCCCTTTGAGAAAAACAGTCAGAAACAGTCAGAGCTGGAAATCAAATTCTACACTGCAGAAGGTCACTGTTGTGATAGTCAAAAAGAGAAGCAAGAAGAGTGTTGGGCCTCAGATGTTGAGAAAGGAGTTAATTTGTGTGCAGAAAGGGGTGGAACAGTGAAAGCTGTGTGCACTGTGTGCTTTCTCAGAGATTGGCTATTGGAACCACACCATAAATTCCCTATTTGGCACGTAAAGAAAATCTCAATTTTAAAACTGCAAGATATAACTCACTGTTACCGCTCTCCCTCAGTATTCTCAATTTGAAATTTTACTCTCAGTCCTCAGGTTAAAACCCAGGAAATTCCCATATCCCTCCCTCCCCAATGAACATTGACTCAGAAGATTATGAAGTGGCCTGGCATGGTCCTTCTTTAGAAATATTCAGGTACAGATTGATGTATTGGCATCTCACCATCGAAGAAAATATTTTGCAGGAGAATTGAAATAAAGATAGGAATAGTACTTAGTTAAAACTTAGGAATAGTTCTTAACTATTTATGTGTTCTTCAATTTTTACTGACAATCAGATTTCTTACCAAATCTGATCAACTTCACCAATATTAAATCATTGAACAAATACAACCAGTTCTAACCATCATCACTAACTTTTCCCTCATGCATTAGTCTGAGTCCTCCAAGAAGTAGGCGCCGAGACTACATTAAATGTGCAAAGATTTTATTAAGGGAACAACCTGTATAGAAGGAAATGGGAAGAAAGTCAAGAAAGGCTGGAGAAGCCATCAGACTGCGAAGCAAACCTAACCCCAAGTGAAGGAAAGAAGCAGTCAAAAGTTGTGTGATGATATCCTGCTAGATTGCTTTGCAATTTAAGAAAGTTCAGGATAGCGCTCAAGGACTCCTCATGCTAAAGCCTTAGGCCTTTCTTGTCACCAGAAACGCGCTTGCCTTAGTTTCTTTAATTAGGTGCAATAGTGTTCCATCATATACTTAGATAATAAATATTTGAATGGACTTGGTGAGGTTAATGACAGAGGCTACTCTTCAGATTTCAAATTTCAGCTTACTGATATTTAGTTTTCAGACAAATAAATATTAACATTGGATGTTTTCCTGTATAGCAGTGGTAAAATTGTAAATTTTATTTAATGTTAATACAGGTAGCTAGTGTTACTAGGTGTTTTCTATGTGCTAGGCATTGTTCTAAGTATTTAACATGTCTTATTTTCTTTAAGCCTCTCAACAATCTTTTCAGCTGGTATTATTACCAAATCTCTTTTAGATATGATAAATCAGAGGCAGTATAATGACCTTAAGTTTACCTCTCCAAGTTACACACTTGGGCACTAAGGGCAATCTAGAAGATGCAAGTATTTATGTGATTTTTATTGACATGCTTCAAAATAGTCAAAAAATAAGGCACTGATGTTATTTCTGTTATCTAAATTTCAGTTTTCGGACTTGAAAATATCACTCTCTATGACCTAAGATGAAGTTTTATTTATATTCAAGTTCAATTACAGTGTTTCTAAAAAATTATTCTTTAGGATAGCGAGGATTTGTACAGACATTCAAATCACTTGCTATCCTTAAAAATAACAACTTAAGTAATAATAGTTAGGAGTTAACTTCATTTGTGGCTTTCTTTGGAAAGAGGTTGATTAAAATAACCCAGGGTTAAGTATTTTCTGATCAGTGGGATGGACCTCAACTAGGCCTTCTTATCAACTCATTTTTCTTTAAATAATGAGTATAAACTTTTAATGATATGATTTTTACCACCTTTCTTTACTTTGTCTGAAGTCCAATTTTCTCTTGTGTAATAGAGGTCAAAAAGAAATAGCAGGAAGACCTAATGCAAATATCAAGCACCTTCCACAATGCTTGACTTAGAGCAGATACTTGAAAATTGCAGCAAGTATGATTATTACTTACTATTACCTATTGTTACTTACAACTGGTTACTCCAGTTACATATTTTCTCACAAATTGTTTTATTAAATCCCCAAAATTGACCATCTAAAAAGGTATAATTACCCCCATTTTGCAGATAAGGAAAGCAAAGTATAGCAGTATTAATCAACTTTTCTAAAATTACACAATTAGTAAATTATTAGAGATAAAACTCATATTCAGATCTATTAGATGCCAAAACCAATGATGATGATGCTATATCTTGCATTTCCCTCAGATGGGAATAAATTTTAGCCTTTAAGGCAAGACACAATGGAAAGGGCTGCCCTGAAAACCTACAAATTTCCAAGTTTTGCCTGTCTTGAAGTGGATATAAAAAGACTAACTTGAAGGATTAATGAAAAGTTGATTTGTGTACTGGACAGAAAACCAATCTAGAATATAAGCTCACATCCAATTCTATAATTTATAAATGGTTTTGAATAGGAAAAAAGACAATGAGAGAAAACAAATGTAATCAGAGATCACAATATCTTATTATTTCTCCAGTTTTTTTATTTATTTATTTTTATGATATTTTTGATTGATATTAATATGTTTTGGGGAAACAGATGGTGTTTGGTTACACGAATAAGTTCTTTAGTAGTGATTTCTGAGATTTTGGTGCATCCATTACCCAAGCAGTGTACAATGTATCCAATATATATTGGAAAGAGGTTGATTAAAATAACCTTGTCTTGTATCCCTCGCCACCCCAACCCTTTCCCACGAGTCCCCAAAGTCCAATGTATCATTCTTATGCATTTGCGTTCTCATAGCTTAGCTCTCACATATGAGTGAGAACAAACAATGTTTGGTTTTCCATTCCTGAGTGATGTCACTTAGAATAATAGTCTCCAATTCTATCCAGGTTGCTGTGAATGTCATTATTTCATTCCTTTTTATGGCTGAGTAGTATTTCATGTGTATTAGTTCATTTTCATACTGCTATGAAGAAATACCCAAGACTAAGTAATTTATAAAGAAAAAGAGGTTTAATGGACTCACAGTTCCACATGACAATCATGGCAGAAGGTGAAGGAGGAGCAAAGACACATCTTATTTGGCATCAGGCAAGAGAACATGTGCAGAGAAACTGCACTTTATAAAACCATCAGATCTCATGAGACTTGCTCACTATCACGAGAACAGCACAGAAGAAACCCACCATCCTGATTCAAAAACCTCCCAGTAGGTCCCTCCTATGACACATAGGGATTATAGGAGCTACAATTCAAGATAAGATTTGGGTAGGGACACAGCCAAACAATATCACCATGGTATATATATATACATATACATGCCACATTATCTTATCCACTCATTGAATGCTATTTGGGCTGGTTCCATTTTTTTGCAGTTGCAAGTTGTGCTGCTATAAACATGTGTGTGCAAGTGTCCTTTTCGTATAATGACTTCCTTTCCTCTGGGTAAATACCTAGTAATGGGATTGCTAGATCAATTGATAGATCTACTTTTAGTTCCTTATTTAGTTCTTCAAGGAATCTCCACACTGTTTTCTATAGTGGTTGTACTACTTTACATTCCCACCAACAGTGTAAAATTGTTCCTTTTTCACCGCAGCCATGCCAACATCTTTTTTATTTTTTTATTTTTTTATTTTTTCATTATGGCCATTCTTGCAGCAATAAAGTGGTATCACATTGTGGTTTTAATTTGTACTTCCCTGATAATTAATGACGTTGAGCATTTTTCTATAGAACCTCTAAACAGACCAACAACAAGCAGCGAGATTGAAATGGTAATTAAAAAAAAAAAAAAGGAGCCAACAACAACAAAAAAAGTCCATGACCAGACAGATTAACAGCTGAATTCTATCAGACATTTGAATAAGAATTGGCGCCAATCCTATATACACTATTCCAAAAGACAGAGAAAGAGAGAATCCTCCCTAAATTAAAATGAAGCCAGTATCACCCTAATACCAAAACCAGGGAAGGACATAACAAAAAAAGAAAACTACAGACCAATATCCCTGCTGAACATAGATGCAAAAATCCTCAGCAAAACATTAGCAAACTGAATCCAACAGCATATGGAAAAGATAATCCACCACGATCAAGTGGGTTTCATGTCAGGGATGCAGGGATGGTTTAACATACATAAATCAATAAATGTGATACATGACATAAACAGAATTAAAAACAAAAAACACATGATCATCTAAATAGATACAGAAAAGCATTTGACAAAATCCACTCTCACTTTATTATTAAAACCCTAAGCAAAATCGGCACACAAGGCACATACCTTAAAGGAATAAAAGCCATCTATGACAAACCCACAGCCAACATTATACTGAACTGGGAAAAGTTGAAAGCATTCCCCCTGAGAACTGGAACAAGGCAAGGATGCCCACTCTCACCACTGGTGCTCAGTATAGTACTGAAGTCCTAGCCAGAGCAATCATACAAGAGAAAGAAATAAAGGGCATCCAAATCGGTAAAGAGGAAGTCAAACTGTCGCTGTTTGCTGATGATATGATTGTAAACCTAGAAAGCCATAAAGACTCATCTAAAAAGCTCCTGTAACTGGTAAATGAATTCAGCAAAGCTTCAGGATACAAAATTAATGTGCACAAATTAGTAACCCTGTTATAAACCAGCAGCAACCAAACCAAGAATTCAACCCTTTTCACAATAGCTGCAAAAAAATAAAAATAATAAAATACTTAAGAATATACCTAACCAAGGATGTGAAAGTCATCTACAAGGAAACCTACAAAACACTGCTGAAAGAAATCACAATGTCGTATTATTTTTCCAGTATTCATGAAGTGACATAATATTTTCTTAAGCAGATATTAAATTTCCAGAAAAACAAATTTACACACCACTACATTTTTAATATACGTAAGTATATATGCAGTTGCCCCTCAGTACACACAGGGATTGGTTCCACAACACCTGTTTATACCAAAAACTGTGTACTCTCATGTCCTTCAGCTGCCCCTGTGGAAGTGTGTATAGGAAAATTTGGCCCTCCACTGCAGGGTTTCGCATGCGCAAATACTCTGGATATGGTTGAAAAAAATCCACATATAAGTAAACCCACGCAGTTCAAACCTATGCTGTTCAAGGGCCAAGTGTTTAGAGAAATATTTGTTTTCTCAAAAATCTTATCTATCTTCTCACAATAGAATTTACATTCTGTGGTTTTCAAATAGTTGTCACTAAAATTAAGTACTTCATGTGGTGATAAAAATTCCTTAGCACAAATTCATTTTCAATGTGACAAATTAAGCAGTTTAGTTTCTGAAGCATAGCCTGTGGGAATAACTCAAAGAAAATAGTATTCCCAAAAAATTATAGAAGATGCAAATAATTTCCTGGTTTCATAACTTCGGAGCCTAATGTAAGAACTAGAAAAGTTCTACCGGAGAAAGTTAAAACTAGTCAAACAAACAAATTCCATTTCAGACATAATACTTCATTGAATGAGTATACTCAACAAATGAAAATTCTTAAATATATTCCTTATAAAATAGATGTGACCAGTAACCACTGTGGAGGGGCTCCAATTCTGAGCAGAATATGGCTACATGTACAAAAGGAATAAATCAAAACCACATGTGAATTCAACTGTTTTCTCAAAGAATCTTTCTTTATATTTCCTACGTATATCACTGTCTAACCAAATCACTGTAACCAGATGTCCCAGATTTTGTCTGATGCTACACTGGGGTAAATGTGCTAATTTTTTAGCACAGAAACCTATAATGAAATTCTTATTGTGCTCCAGCATTTCGAATGAAGCCAGGGCAAGCGGAGCAGATAAAAGTATAATCCACATAATCAGCTTATAATTTTCTTTAATTTTTACATTGAAAATGTTGGAAAGAAATATTCCCTGAATTAATTAAAATTTCAGTTATGATTAATATAAAGTTAAAAATTCTAATTGTTTTCCCCTAGAACTTCTTTTAGATTAATTTCTTATCAAAAATATTTGTTAAGGAAATATTTCATGTGTATACAATAGAATATAGAAAAAAGTATTTTAAGAAACACGGTAAACCCATAACCCATATTTTATAAATATTAAGGTTTGGCCATTTTCTTCCAAAAACATGTTTAATAAAATAAATGTTATTAAAAGGACTTCTGCTTTCACTTAGTATGTAGAATAGCAGAAGGAAGCAGTCAAATAACCTACAGACAATATTAAAATAATTGTTATCATGCATACACTAGAAATGTTTTTGAAAATATTTAGAAAAAAAACAGTCTTTGAACAATTCAAAATGAGATTCTCCAAATAACTCATTGTTATCCAGATCTCTTCCTCATATTTTGTGGAAATACTTCTAGTAGCAGTCTCCCTTTTGCATCACCCATGAACAATCCTTTCCATGCAATACTAGACACTAACTGACTTTCTGCAAACACAATCACTTTCTGTATGAACAAAAAGTGTTCATATATACCACTATAATAGTCTACAATCAAGTTTCCTTAGCCACATTAACATAAATACTTAGTAGAATGTTTATTGAGTCTGATATTCATGACAGGCAGTAGACAAAGTGCTCTACAGAAATTAACTCATATACTCCTATAAGGATACTTATGCTTAAAGAAATAAAGAAACTGGTCTAGGATCACTGTTTCCAGCAAAGAGTGTTGCAGAAACTTAAGGCAAGTTATTTCTGAATTTAAAGACCAGCTTTCTGGATGAAAAAAGATATTCTACGCAAATAGAAATTCAAAGAAAACAATGATAGCTATACTAATATCAGAAAAAATAAACTGTAAGTCCAAATTGCACAAAGAGACAAGGAAAGTAATTACAAAATGGGCCGGGTGCAGTGGCTCACGCTTATAATCCCAGCACTTTGGAAGGCCGAGACGGGCGGATCACGAGGTCAGGAGATCGAGACAATCCTGGCTAATACGGTGAAACCCCGTCTCTACTAAAAAAATACAAAAAATTAGCGGGGCGTGGTGGCGGGTGCCTGTAGTCCCACCTACTCCGGAGGCTGAGGCAGGAGAATGGCGTGAACCCGGGAGGTGGATCTTGCAGTGAGCCGAGATCGCACAACTGCACTCCAGCCTGGGCGACAGAGCGAGACTCTGTCTGGAAAAAAAAAAAAAAAAAAAAGTAACTACGTAATGAAAAAGGGGTAAATTAAGCAAGAGGATATAATGATAGTAAATATATATACACCCAGCATCAAAGCACCTAAATAAATAAAGCAAATATTAGTAGATCTGAAGGGAGAAATACAAAGGATCAAGAGTCTACTATGAACAATTATACCCCAACAAATTGGGTAACCTAGAAGGAATGGTTAAACTTCCAGAAACATACAACCTGCCAAGACTGAATTATGAAGAAATAGACAATCTGATAGACCTATAATGGAATAAGAAAGGTTGAATCTCTTATCAAAGACCCGGGTTTGATGGCTTCGCCAATGAATTATATTATTTAAAGAAGAATTAATACCAAACCTTCTCAAACTCTCGCAAAAAAATTAGAGAAAAAACTTTCCAAAGTCATTTTAACAAGCAACTATCCTGATAACTAAAGCCACACAAGGATACTACAAGAAAATAAATACAGGGCAATATCCCTGATTACCATAAACACTAACAAACTAAATTCAATAGCATATTAAAAGGATCATGCACCACGAATAAGTGGGATTTATCCCTGGGATGCAAGAATGTTTCAACATATTAAAATCAATAAATGTGATACATACACCACACTCCCAGAATGAAGAACAAAATCAGTAGATCATCTCGAGATATAACGAAAAAAGCTTTTGCCATAATTTAACATCCTTTTATAATAAAAATGCTCAGTAAGTTAGGTATAGAAGGAACATAGCTTGATACAATAAAATCCACAGATCGCAAGCCCACAGCTAACACCATGCTCAACAATGAAAAGTTGAAAACTTCTCGCATAAGATCAAGAAAAAGATCAAGATAAGGTGCCAACTCTCACCAATAATATTTAACATGGTACTTAAAGCCCTAGCCAGAGCAATTAATAAAGAAAAATAAATAAAAAGAATCCAAATAGAAAAGGGAAAAATTAAACTGCCACTGTTTGCAGACGACATGACCTTAAATATAGAAAACCCTAAAGATTCTACTCAAAAACTGTTAGAACTAATAAACAAGTAAGGGAAATTTGCAAGATACAAAATCACCATACAAAAATTAGTTGTGCTTCTATATAATAACAATAAACTATCCAAAAGAAAAGAAATTAAGAAAGCAATCTCATTTGAAATAGTATCAAAAAGAATGAAACACATAAATTAATCAAGAAAGTGAAAGAGCTGTACATTAAACGTCAATGAAACAAACTGAAGACGACACAAATAAATGGAAAGATATTCCATGCTAATGGATAGGAAAATTCAATAATGTCAAAACATCCATACTATCCAAAATGATCTGCAGATTCTGTGAAATTTCTATCCAAATTCCAATGGCACTTTTCACAGAAATAGAAAAACAATCCTAAAGTTTCTGTAGTACCACAAATGATCACAAATAGCTAAAGCAATCTTGATCAAAAACAGCAAAACTGGAGTCATTCAAAATATCTACTATATACTAAATATTTTACTGGAGTATTTTTAAAATATATTACAAAGCTATAGTTATCAAAATGTTAGCATGGCATAAAAACAAAGATAAACCAGTGAAACAGGGTTTAATAGACTGGAGATAAACCCAAGCATATAAGGTCAACTAATCTTTGACAAAAGTACCAAGAATATACCATAGGGAAATGATAGTCTCATCAATAATGGTGTTAGAAAAAGTAGACATCCACATGCAAAAAAATTAAATCGTACCTTTATCATATGTCATAAACAAATATAAACTCAAAATGGATTGAGGATTTAAATGTAAGACCTGAAACTGTAAAACTACTAGAAGAAAAAAATAGGTAAAAAGTTCCACAACATTAGTCTTAGCAATGATTTCTTAGATACAACACCAAAAGCAAAAACAAATAAATAAATAGATAGAGAGATAGCAAAAACAAGTGATACTACATCAAACAAAACACTTTCTGCACAGTAAAGGAAATAACTGATAAAATAAAGTCAACCACAGGAATGTGAGAAAATAATAGCAAACCATATATCCAATTTATTCTTACAACTGTTATTACAACATCTTGTAGATGGAAAAATTGCCAGTGAAAGAGATTAAGTAATTTGCCCCTGTAGCCTCTATTTTATTTGGTTTTACTTGTTATGCTTTTCTGCTTGGTAATTCTTCTGATAAGCCTCTTTATTTGATTACTTCTTTCAGGTATTTTCGTGGATTCCTCTTCTTCCTCGAGTATATAACATTAATGTTCTCTAGGGTTCTGATCTCAGCCTACTTCTTATCTGAGTCTGCATTTTTCCTATATAATCTTGCCCACATGAATGATTTTACTTAGCATCTGTAACCCATGACTCCCAAATACACTCACCTATCTCCTAGTCATCTCTGCATAGTATTTGTTTGTCCTCCAGAATAATAAGTAAGCATCTTTGGGGCAATGTCATATCTTTTCACTTGAATCTCCTGTACTCAAAACCATATCTGCGTCTAATTGCATTCAAAGGTTGTTATAAACTTGTCAAGTATCATGTTTCTATATTACAGTAAAATAAAACAATAATATAACATAGACTTAAGCTGCTTAGGGGCATAAAAATGAACTTGTTGAATTTGTCAAAATGATTTGACAAAAATAATTTGACAGAATGATTTGTTGAGGACGTTCCAGCTTTGGGTTTCTCTCATTAGCATGGATTGATGGTTAAAGATCACCTTGTCACCAGAGGAAATTTAAAAACATAAAACAGGAAAACACATGATAAAAGTTAGCCATGTGTTGTATTCTTATGGAACCACACTTACGGGATCAATATCTCTTTGTTGAGTTGTGTCTTGTAAATGAAACACCTTGACATTTTCAAGAACATAGAATTTGGTCTTGGAGGAAAATGAATCATTCTTTCTTTATTGAAAAATAGCAGTACATGTTCTGGTACATTAGTTTTCTAAGGTCACCCACTGGTCATGGAATATAAGATTATAGATAAAATAAGAATGCCACTCCTGTATTTAGAGTTGGCAGTTCTTATTTCTTAATATCAAACATAATCACACACTTCCTATCTTGTTCAGTCTTAAACCAATTAACTTAATAATACCTATAATTGGTGTCCAAACATAAAATACAGGATGCCTTGTTTCAATGCGGTTTATGTCTTCAGTTCTATAAAAGCAGGTGCCATCTAAATTTTTTACATTTTGTTTATATATTTATTTATTTATTTAAATGGATAAAAATGTATATACTTAAGCTGTACATGATATTTGATATATGTATACATTGTAAAATGGCTAAATCTAGCTAACATTTATTATCTCACATACTATTTTTTTGTGATAAGAACATGTAAAATCTACTCTGTTAACAATTTTCAAGTATATAACGCATTGTTTTTAACTGTAATTACCATGTTGTACAATAGATCTCTTGATCTTATTTCTCTTATCTAACTGAAATTTTGTATCCTTTGACAAATGTCTTCCCAACCCACCACCACCACCCCAGACCCTGGTTCTATTTTCTGCTTCTATGAGTTTGGCTTTTTTCGACTCCACACATAAGTGAAATCTCACTATTTGCCGTTTTGTGCCCGGCTTATTTCACTTAGTATAATGTCCTCCAAATTTATTCATGTTGTCAAAAGTGATAGAATTTCCTTCTTTGTTAAGGCTGAATTGTATTCCATTGTGTATATATACCATATTTTCTTTATCCATTCATCCGTTTATGGACACTTAATTTGATGCTGTATTTTGGCTATGTGAATAATGCCTCAATGAACATAGAAATATAGTTATTTTTGAGATAGTTATTTTATTTACCTTGTATACACTTATAAGTAGGATTGCTGGATTATATGGTAGTTCTATTTTTAGTGATCTGAGAAACATCCATACAGCTTTCAATAATGACTGTACTAATTTACATTCCTACCAACAGTGTACTGGGTTCCTTTCTCTCCATATCTTTGCCAACACTTGTCTTTTTTAATAATAGCCATCCTAACAATCTGAGGTAATATCTTCATTTAGATAAAAGCAACATCATTTTAATTTTAATTTCAAATTTGTTATATTCCCCCTACTCATATATTGCTTTTTATCTACCCAGCAATGTGACCTTAGTGCCTATAACAGTGTTTAATATCTATTGTTCGGAAAAATATGGGGGGAAATACAGGAAGGGAGGAAAGAAGAAAGAGAGGGAGGAGGAAAGAGTGGGTAGAAGAAAGACAAAAAAGGAAGCAAGGAGGAAGAAAGGAATAAAAACTGGAAGAAAAAGAATGTAATCAACCATGTTGAAATGCATTTTTAAAATGTCATAGCAGTGAATATTTTAAAAGTCAGACATATTCCAATAGTTATGCGTAGGGAACCTGCATATTTATGATACTTAAAAGTTAGAAGCCAAAATAACTTGATTTAATTATCTTGCTCTCACAATCGTATATATGTATTTATTTCCTTATGATCCAGAAAAATGTCGATTTCCAATGGGGAGAATGAGTTACTAATTCATTGTGGTGAAAACTTGGAAGACTTTATTATCCTAAAATATAATGTATATTTAAAATTATACTTATAATATATAATAATTAATTTATACTTTGTCCTCAAGGTAAATTCAGGATGTGAGTATGTATATGTATGTGTATGTATATACATATGTTTGTATGTGTGCGTGTTTGTGTATGTGTTTGTGTATGTGTATAATCTCTTGCTTAGAATAAATGATCTTTTCACAAAATTATTTATTGTATTAAAGTATCACTTGACTCTTTCTAAGTTATTTTATTCCCACATTTAAGTTTTGTCTCCTATTTTTATTTTATTTCTGTCGTTAAAAAGTTTATTTTGCAAAATTAAAAGCACACAACAGTCTTCCCTGTTTTATTTATTAATTGTATTTAAGTTTTTAAAATTTATCACTCACACAATAATTGTACATACTTATGGAGAACAAAGTGATGTTTTGATACTTGTATATATTGTACAATAATCAAATCAGGGTAATTAACACATCCATCACTGTAAACATTTATAATTTCTTTGTGATGAGAACATCTATAAATCTCTTTCCAGCTACTTTGAAAGACACAATATATTGATGTTAACTGTAGTCAACCCACTACGCAATCAAACACCAGAACTTATTCTTTCTTTTTTTTTTTTTTTTTAATTATACTTTAAGTTTTAGGGTACATGTGCACATTGTGCAGGTTAGTTACATATGTATACATGTGCCATGCTGGTGCGCTGCACCCACTAACTTGTCATCTAGCATTAGGTATATCTCCCAATGCTATCCCTCCCCCTTCCCCAGCCATCCCATTACTGGGTATATACCCAAATGACTATAAATCATGCTGCTATAAAGACACATGCACACGTATGTTTATTGCGGCATTATTCACAATAGCAAAGACTTGGAACCAACCCAAATGTCCAACAATGATAGACTGGATTAAGAAAATGTGGCACATATACACCATGAAATACTATGCAGCCATAAAAAATGATGAGTTCATGTCCTTTGTAGGGACATGGATGAAATTGGAAATCATCATTCTCAGTAAACTATCACAAGAACAAAAAACCAAACACGGCATATTCTCACTCATAGGTGGGAATTGAACAATGAGATCACATGGACACAGGAAGGGGAATATCACACTCTGGGGACTGTGGTGGGAGAGTGAACAGGCAACCTACAAAATGGGAGAAAATTTTCGCAACCTACTCATCTGACAAAGGGCTAATATCCAGAATCTACAATGAACTCAAACAAATTTACAAGAAAAAAACAAACAACCCCATCAAAAAGTGGGCGAAGGACATGAACAGAACTTATTCTTTCTACCTAACAGTGAACCGTTGCTGTTGACCAATGTTTTCCCATCTTCCCATTCCCCCTACTATTCCCATCCTTTGGTAACCACTATTTCACTCTCTACTTTTATAAGAAGAACTTTTTAAATTCCACATATGAGTGGAAATCATGAAGTATTTATTTTCTGTGCCTGGCTTACTTCACTTTTTAACTATTTAAAAAGAAGAAAATATTTATTTTATTTTTGTTTTTTTCAAATGATTATGATTGTATCTTTTGGATTTTTCTTTTAAAGCCAGCAAATGTGATACTTTGGCAGAGAATGACCACTTTATCAAGGCATCTGCCTTATTCTAATTTAAATATAACAGAGAAAAACAATGCCATGATTACATCTTTTATTTAAATTTATGAGTGACACAATAATTGTTATTAATTATCTTCCTATCTAACTGTACCTTTGTAAATCTCAATAATTATTATAACATCAATAATTATCATGCATAATAATGTGGTTGAAAATTCTGTATAGTGTCTGCCTGTTGGAAAATTTCATTACAATATACTTAATAATTCACATTCTAAATAACACACTGCATTCTTAATACAAATAAATGAAGAAAAACAGCAGACAAGAAGCAAGTAAAATACATAGTCATTATCAATTCTGTAGGTGTTTGATGATTAAAATTTTTAGCAGAAAAAAAACCTTTGGGTTTTCAAATATAATATTCTTCTGTAAAATTTTATTATTCTTGACTGAAAATTTCAGGAGAACTCTGCTAATAATTATCATATTTTTCAGTTAGGTAAAATATGAGCATCATAAGTTCTGTGGGGATTAAACATCCCTCATAATGTATTTTAATTTTGATGTGTGTAATTCAAATATAGTTCATATTTAATAGCATTAGCTGTGATTTTACTTGCACAAAACTGAGTTATGAAATTATAACAAACAGTAACACGTTCAGCTTTTTATAAATGATAAAATAGTGAGGCATATTTAATAATTTTTTCCTTTCACAGCAGACATACACACAAAAAATGTTTGGCTGCTTAATAGTCTATCACTTTTTCCTTTAAACTTTTCACCAGCTTGTTTTTAAATTATTCCTAACGCATTTTTTTGCAAATGAGTCCTTATAATTTTACCTCCCTTAATGGCCATGTCATCTGCTCTTTTGCCCACCTTCCCTCGAATTTTTCTCTGCATTGATTCCATGGTTATCAATCTAAAATGCAATGCTTCCCATATCACATGTTGGCTTGAAGTCTTTCATGCTGCCTTCAGCCCTCATAATAATATAAAAAATATTAAGCCCCCGCTAGCCCTTACCCTCAGCTCTTACCCCGCTCTTACACTCAACATTCCCATTGTGCTGTCATATCTGTACAGATTTCCAACACTTTGCATTTCCTCATCTCCTTTCTGTAACTCCTCTGGTATTATAGAACCTACCATGATGTTTACCAAGTTTGTTCAGTCTGGGTGATACGTACATTTTAGGTGTTCTCATAATGTTTTGACTTTTAAGCATATTTTTATTAAAATATTTTGGATAACGTATCTTATATAACTTCATCAGAAAATAAGCTCCTTGAAATAAGGAAATATGTTTCAATTCTCTTTGTATTACAAGTACCTCAGTGCTTTAGAACATAGAATAATCAGTACATGCTTGACAAAAAATGAATGAGCTACTTTACCATACATACATTACTAAATCTCAAATGATATCAAGCTTCTATTCATTACCTTTATCCATGTTTGGTGGTTACCATGTCTACAAGTATACGAGAAAATTTGGAGGACAAATTGATTACATTAACAGTATCTAGTCTATCTTGTTCTGGGTTATGTTTGTATTTACTTGTATGTTGTTTATTGAGTTAATCTATTTCATATAATAATTTCCTCAAATTAGCTTACAAAATTTCCTTAAGGTGATCAAATATATTTTTACACACACACAAACACACACACCCTCAGCTCAGATATATTTGGCTCAAAGTCAAAATTGAAAAAATTACTCGATAAAGAAGTGGGGTGACAAGCTAACAGAGTGTCCTTAAATGTAAAAAAAAAAAAAATCACTGTAATAAAAGTCAGTATTTCCTGATCTGAGTACAACTGTATCTGTAGACCCATCGCACAACTTCCCTGAACCTCTCTTCCTCTTCTGGTATAATTAGAGGACATTTTCCCTCTGGTATTCCTGGTATATAGTTACCGTGAAATTCGCACATGGTTAGTGGCAGTACTTCAAATTATAAACACATGCTCTACTCTGAGTTTAAAATTACAAACAAGTTGTGAAACAATAGTTTACCATCTTATCATGTATGAAATAAGGGAAGGAAAATACACTAAAAAGAAAAAACAGAATACAGATGCTATCATCAAAGCATATATTTGAATTTAAGAACTCTTGTTTTTAGGACTTGGGAAAATTTCTCTTTAAAATCTCTGTTCACTACTAGTATTATGTATTTAAAAATAAATGGCAATTTTTGTATACAAATTATCCAATGCTGTCAATTCTACAGTGGCACAAAGTCAAGTGTAATTTTACTCTCAATTGTGTTATAAAATTAAGAACTTTTTCTGCTTTTTTGTTCCTGTAAAAGTTAATAATTCACTGGAAGACATAAGACATTTCTATTCACAGGAGCTATTGACAATCTATTTTTCAAATACTTATTCCTTATTTCAACGGAAATATTATTATAGAATATAATATATATTATTTAAATTGACTAAGCAAGATAGTGTGATGTAATGTCATTTTAAAATTTTATTTCTTTTAAGTTTTTTCCCAACATTATTTAAGTCTGATATCTTATAGCACTTTGTTACAGCATATCAATGTATTAGGGCCTCAAAAATGTCTTCTTACTAATTTACATAATTAAATAGATGAACAATAAGTACATTCATCAAAAGTTGCACAATTTGAGCCAGAAATTGTACAATTAGAGCATTTAAACCATGAGAAATACATGGCTTTAAAGAAATAAATGCTAAAGAATATAGGGGTTAGTTTCAACCTCTTTCCTAGTTGAGTTAAAACCAGCATGATGTACTATCAAACACACACTAGAATGGCCAAAATCAAAATGACTGAAAAAAATACCTAAATGTAAATTAGGATATAGAACAACAAGAAACTTTCATACATCATTAGTGGGAGTGTAAAGTTATTCCAAATGGTACCCTAGAAAACTGTTTAGCGATTTCTGAAAATATTAAATGTGCGTCTGCCACAAACACTATTACTATGTCTTATCCGAGAGAGGAAAAAATGATGTCTTCAGATATTCTTGCACAAATAACATCGTAGGACTTTTATTTGTAGTAGTCTCAAACTAGAAACAACCATGTCCTTCAATGGGAGATGGATAAACAAACAGCTAGTCCTTCAGTGGGAGATGGATAAACAAACTGTGTAGTCATGAATAGATTACACAGCAATGGTTCCAACAATGTGGATAAATTTCAAAAGAATTTAGCCACGTGCAAAAAGCTAAAGACCTTAGAGTATATGCCATATGATTCTATACGAACTGGCAAAAACTATTCATCAACTTAGATGAGTGGTTGTTTCTGCAAAGGGTGATCAGCTAAGGGCCAGGGCAACTTTCTGGGATGATGGAAAGACTGTGTATTTCTACCCTAATAGCAGATTGACATAGCCATTTAAAATATGTTTTCACCATATAGAATTATACCTGAATTTCTTTAAAGTTATTAGTTAATGAAAAGAAAAATTTTTCTGAATACAACTGAAGCTTTGTTCTTCCTGCTCAATAATATTCCCACTAATTCTATACCTTCTCAGAGGTTACCAGGATTCTGCAATCAGCGTGTATGCTTCCCAGGCATATTATATATATTATGCTTGTATTACACATGCATGTAGCTATTACAATGGATAGTAGATGTGGCTTTAAAAATGTTTTCTTTGTGTAATGAGATAACATTTTTACTATTTTAAAATTAGAGACAACTGTGCATTTTTGGAGTTTCAGAAAAGAATGAATTCATAGACTTCTCAAAGCACACCGAAAAATATATTATCAATAAATATTTTTTAGAAAAAAAGTTTAGACATATGTATCATGTTATTCTTAACAGTTCACATTAATTTAATATTGCTTTCACTTAGCAAGGACCACTTTCTCTCTGACTCAGAAATTAGAAAAAATGTCTGTGTTATTTTCAATGAATCAATATTCACTAAACAATAATTAACATTGTTAATAAAAATTTACATTTCTTGAATTATTTTTAGTGGTTATTAACCTGTGTTCAGGTTCTGCTTTCATTTTCACAGGGCTGTTGTCCTTTTTGTTTCTTTCTCACCTCTCAATGCCCTCAACTCTGTAATAACTCCCTCATGTGTTATTTTCCTTCATAAAGATGTGGTTCTTATACCTAGGGACATTTCTGTCTGTAAGAAGGTGTCTTAATGAACTATAGACATAATCATCTTAAGGCATTAATCATCAAAGGGTGAAAACTGACAACAAGTTTATGCATATACACGTTGCAATAATATAGGGCTTTCTATATTACAGGATTTGCTTTATCTCTGTTTATTTATATCTTATTGAACTTATATACTCCATACCTTTTTTATTTTTATTTTTTATTATACTTTAAGTTCTAGGGTACATGTGCATAACATGCAGGTTTGTTACAGATGTACACATGTGCTATGTGGGTGTGCTGCACCCAGTAACTCATCATTTATAGGTATATCTCCTAATGCTAACCCTCCCCCATCACCCCACCCCACGACAGGCCCCAGTGTGTGATGTTCCCCTTCCTGTGTCCAAGTGTTCTCGTCGTTCAATTCCCACCTATGAGTGAGAACATGCGGTGTTTGGTTTTTTGTCCTTGCGATAGTTTGCTGAGAATGATGGTTTCCAGCTTCATCCATGTCCCTACAAAGGACATGAACTCATCTTTTTTTATGGCTGCATAGTATTCCATGGTGTATATATGCCACATTTTCTTAATCCAGTCTATCATTGTTGGACATTTGGGTTGGTTCCAAGTCTTTGCTCTTGTAAATAGTGCCGCAATAAACATACGTGTGCATGTGTCTTTATAGCAGCATGATTTATAATCCTTTAGGTATATACCCAGTAATGAGAAGGCTGGGTCAAATGGTATTTCTAGTTCTAGATCCTTGAGGAATCGCCACACTCTCTTCCACAATGGTTGAACTAGTTTAAAGTCCCATCAACAGTATAAAAGTGTTCCTATTTCTCCACATCCTCTCCAGCACCTGTTGTTTCCTGACTTTTTAATGATTGCCATTCTAACTGTTGTGAGATGGTATCTCACTGTGGTTTTAATTTGCATTTCTCTGATGGCCAGTGATGATGAGCATTTTTTCATGTGTCTGTTGGCTGCATAAATGTCTTCTTTTGAGAAGTGTCTGTTCATAACCTTTGCCCGCTTTTTGATGGGGTTGTTTGTTTTTTTCTTGTAAATTTGTTGGAGTTCTTTATAGATTCTGGATATTAGCCCTTTGTCAGATGAGTAGATTGCAAAAATTTTCTCCCATTCTGTAGGTTGCCTATTCACTCTGATGGTAGTTTCTTTTGCTGTGCAGAAGCTCTTTAGTTTAATTAGATCCCATTTGTCAATTTTGGCTTTTGTTGCCATTGCTTTTGGTGTTTTAGACATGAAGTCCTTGCCCATGCCTATGTCCTGAATGGTATTGCCTAGGTTTTCTTCTAGGTTTTTTATGGTTTCAGGTCTAACATGTAAGTCTTTAATCCATCTTGAATTAATTTTTGTGTAAGGTGTAAGGAAGGGATCCAGTTTCAGCTTTCTACATATGGCTAGCCAGTTTTTCCAGCACCATTTATTAAATAGGGAATCCTTTCCCCAGTGTTTGTTTTTGTCAGGTTTGTCAAAGATCAGATGGTTGTAGATGTGTGGTATTATTTCTGAGGTCTCTGTTCTGTTCCATTGGTCTATATCTCTGTTTTTGTATCAATACCATGCTGTTTTGGTTACTGTAGCCTTGTAGTATAGTTTGAAGTCAGGTAGCGTGATGCCTCCAGCTTTGTTCTTTTGGCTTAGGATTGTCTTGGCAATGAGGGCCCTGTTTTGGTTCCATATGAACTTTAAAGCAGTTTTTTTCCAATTCTGTGAAGAAAGTCATTGGTAGCTTGATGGGGATGGCATTGAATCTATAAATTACCTTGGGCAGTATGGCCATTTTCATGATATTGATTCTTCCTATCCATGAGCATAGAACGTTCTTCCATTTGTTTGTGTCCTCTTTTATTTCACTGAGCAGTGGTTTGTAGTTCTCCTTGAAGAGGACATTCACATCCCTTGTAAGTTGGATTCCTAGGTATTTTATTCTCTTTGAAGCAATTGTGAATGGGAGTTCACTCATGATTTGGCTCTCTGTTTGCCTGTTATTGGTGTATAAGAATGCTTGTGATTTTTGCACATTGATTTTGTATCCTGAGTCTTTGCTGAAGTTGCTTATCAGCTTAAGGAGATTTTGGGCTGAGACGATGGGATTTTCTAAATATACAATCATGGCATCTGCAAACAGGGACAATTTGACTTCCTCTTTTCCTAATTGAACACCCTTTATTTCTTTCTCCTGGCTGATTGCCCTGGCCAGAACTTTCAACACTATGTTGAATAGGAGTGGTGAGAGAGGGCATCCCTGTCTTGTACCAGTTTTCAAAGTGGAAAGAGCTTTAATTTTGCTTTAATTTTTTTTTCATTCTCATGTTAGCTGTACACTGCTTTTATGTGCATGTCTGTCTTTTTCTGATCAAAAAACCTTAAAGTTCTTTACTGCCTATTGGACTAAATTAGGTTTCCATATTTAGGGGATGATAGAGACACTATGTATTTCTACCCTGATAACAGATTGACATAGCCACCTAAAATAGGATTCACCACATATAATCATACTTCATTTTTTTAAAGTTATTAACGAAAAGAAAAATTATTCTGAATGCAACTGAAATTTTGTTCTTCCCACTCAATTCTATTCTTGTCCTTACTTTCTCAGAGGTAACTAGGATTATCTGTCTTGTTGTGGAGAAGAATAAGAAATCCTTGTCATTGTTCATTGAAATTCAAATTAAACTGTGCAGAAGTATATTTAGCATATCTATAATCATTTGCAGCTTTCAACTTTGAATCAAAAAAAGTTTTATCTTTAAAAAGATGAGACATCAATTTTTAAAGTAAAAATGTTTAATCTGTTGCAGAATTTGAAGTTTTTTACATGGTGTATTTAAAAAGATTAAATTGTTATTCTAAAAAGAAAGGTTATAATATTCCCAGGTCTTCAGTATTCATGCTTTCATATAAGACCAAGAAGAGTTTTTAATCCTAACCACATGTTAGAATGCATTAGGGAATTTAATAAAATATAGTTGCCAGAATCCCACCAATTGAATAAAAATCTCTGACAGAGCCAAGACATCAGCATTTCAATAGATCCCCAAATGAGTGAAAGTTGCATTTACTTTGAATGAATTTGATGACAAGTGTTGCTGATTTTACTTGTTGCATGTTAGGGTACTTAGCAGATATCAAAAAGCCAAGAACATGTACAAGACGGATTTGCAGATTGTAGCTTTCCTGTTGTACTACTCATCCCTATTATCTCTAATTGCTTAGTATTTATTCATACAACTAATTTTTTTTGTAAAGTCGATTGTTGCCAGCAGTGTAACTGTATTACACTGTATTAGGTATGTCTTTTATGTACTTCTTAAAGTCTTTTTGATTGATTTATTGTGATTTAAACAACATCCAAGTGAGAGTTCAGCATCAGAAAAGGTTAAATCATAATAATAACTAATACAGATAAGGGCTTTAATATTCTCACCGAAGCCTTTAACTATGGCCTTTAATATTTGCACCAAAGCCTTTAGGTAGTTAAGTATTATTGTACACTGTTCATGGCACAACTGTTATTGTACACTGTTCATATTACAACTTAAATATCTAACAGGCATCACAAAGTAAACTTTTATAAAACTAAGTTCCTAATGTTCTCCCCCAAACCAGCTCTTCTCTCTATCTTTGCCAGCTCAGTAATAATTACATTTTTCTAGGTAAGCAAGCAAAAAACCTGGGACAATTATTAACCGTTTTTTCTCTCACACCTCAATTCCAACCTATTAAGCTACATTTGCCATAACTTTCAAATTATGTCTAGAATGTGACAATTTCTCACTATCCCCACTGCTACCATACTAATATGTAAGAACTATTGAAATATCCTCCAAATTGCTCCTTCAGTTTACTTTTAGCAGGTAATCTAGAGTTCTCTTCAACTTTATATCAATTTCCAATTGCATAAATGTTTTATTGAAGTCTCCATAATACTCAAACGCCCTATATTATGGTCCCATTTGTCTTTCTGACCTCATTTTGACCACATTCACTATTATCCAACTACACTGGCCTATACAATATTTCTCAAAGTTGCCAGGCATGGTTATATATCAAGCTCTTTGCAAGTGATTTCCTCCTGGACTGTCTGCAAGGTTTTGTTTCTTATTTCCTTGAAGATTTTACTCTCCTGCTCAGGGAGGCATTTCCTGGCCATCCTTTCTAACAGAGAACACCCGATCCCGACCAATGTTTTTTATCCTCTTTCTCCAACTCAGTTGTTGCCTTAGTATGATTCACTATCCAACCAATCATATATTACTTTTCATATGTTCATTTTTCTCAGCCAGTCAAAATATAAGCTCCACAAAAAGCAGAATTTCTTATTGTCATTGTTGTTTGTGATTTTATTCCAGATGCTTAGAAAAATTCCTGGCACATACTAGATACTCAAGAATTATTCACACAAAGTAAAGAATCTTAACTGTATTGTCAACTTCAGCATCTGTCAAAATATTTTCTCCATTGCATATACAAAAAGCTCAAGTGTACTACAAAAAGAATTACTGTGTTTGTCAAATATTTTGGAGATCATTTCACAGATGGATTCAATTTTTAACTGAATCTTCACGAACATATGAAAATTGTCATGAGAGAGAATATAGAAAATGTAAAAAAAGGGCATTTTCAGGTAGAGGAAATATGGAGTGTTGCATGTACTCTGGAAAGATTGTAAATGGCACATGCAACATGTCAAAACATGGAGTCAGAAATATCTCCTAGAACGATTTTGATTGATCGTGAATTCTACGTTAAATATCTTGAACATTACCTAGATTTTATAACAAGACCGTAGAAATGTTTGATTCAGTAAAATTACCTATTATATCTACTTTAGAGAGAAAATGTTTGTGAAGTTGCTCTTGAAAATGCATTTTACAAATAACAGACAAGATGTAAGAAAGCCTGTTAGAAAGCTGAGTATGAGCAATATCAGATAAACTATGCAGAAGCAATAGATTGAAAAGATTAGGTGGAAGAAGTCAAAGTATAAATGTTTCCAAGAATTTTGGTGGCTAATGAAAGGGGAAAATGGGTGATTCAGTTAGTGGGTGGAACAGAGTGATGGTATCTGTAAAATGAAGGAGAATTAAGGATATTTTAGGCTAAGCGAAGAAGCAGGTGCAAATGAAACAAGTAAAGCTGTACAAAGAAAAAGTAACAAACATAAAAGTAAGCTTGTAGAGAATGAGGAAAGAGCAGATAGGCCCATATCTCACAGAGACGTAACTCAGAACAATTAATGAAGAGTCACAAAAGTGAGCAAGCATGGTTGTCTGATTTCCAAACTCTCAGAAATTAAAACAAATAAGCAAGGGCTAAAACAGTTGCTGCTAAAGACAAGCAATACTGATTGTTAAGGGAAATTAAAGAGCTTACTAAACATCAAGAAGTGCTAGACCAACGTGAGTGACAAATACAGAAATGTGAAAAACCAGATTTCTTCTCCTCAGGAGGACAAAGTTATTCATATAGTTCCATGTCAAACAAAATGATCGCTAGGCAGCAATGAAGGTTACATAAAAATCAGAAACAATAAAATAATGGCAGTTCTATAAACCATAGCCCCATGAAAGAAAAAGATTTAAATCTATGAATAGCTATAAATACTAAAGATAATAATCAGTCCTCTGTAGTATTAAAAATATATTCACATACGCGGTAAATTTGACAAATATTTATCCGTAAAATTATTAGAAATTTTAACGTTCTAGTGCTTAAATATCAATGCTTCAGATAATTAGGAGACTTGCTTTTCCAAAACTCTCCATCTTCCAACAATTACAGACACCTAGAAATTAGCATTTTGGCACTTGGGCAAAATCCAGCCATCCTTGGGTACTGTAGGCAAACACTTTTTTTGTTCGTTTTTGTTCTTGCTTTGGCTTTATTTAATGATTATTTTATTATTATGTACACGCTTTCTGCAGTTCATATATATTTTACTGAAATTTTTGTACAGTTTTTTTGTTTTGCCTGAAATTAATAATTTTCTTGTCTTTGGGGGATACTTAGTTTTGCATGTACATTTCATTAATTCTTCCCTAAAAACTTTAATAGAAGGACAGCATCTTCTTATGGAATTTAGAATGCTTCTGATTGCAAGTAGCATAATGCCCAACCTAAACAAAATAGATTTTAAAGATTTCCTCACTCATAAAGAAGTCTGTAGCTAGGGCTTTTTGTGGTTGGTTAATTCAGTGGCATTTCAATGTCATTATGAATACAGGTGCTTTTCACATTTCTGTTTTGCCAGCCACAGCATGTTGATTTTTTGTTTTCAGGCTTGACCTCTCATGACCATAAGATGGCTATTATAGCTCCAAGTATCACTTCCATACACCAAAGGCAGGAAGAGGAACACTTCTTCGTCCCTCTTCCTCTTCTCTCCCTTTATTTCTTTTTTCTTTTCTTTTCTTCTCTTTTTTTTTACTGTTTATAGTTCCCTATTTTTTTCTTTTTATACTTTAAGTTCTAGGGTACATGTGCACAACGTGCAGGTTTGTTACATATGTATACATTCGCCATGTTGGTGTGCTGCGCCCATTAACTCGTCATTTACATTAGGTATATCTCCTAATGCTATCTCTCCCCCTTCCCTCCACCCCATGACAGGCCCCAGTGTGTGATGTTCCCCACCCTGTGTCCAAGTGTTCTCATTGTTCAATTCCCACCTGTGAGTGAGAACATGCAGTGTTTGGTTTTCTCTCCTTGCGATAGTTTGATGAGAATGATAGTTTCCAGCTTCATCCATGTCCCTACAAAGGACATGAACTCATCATTTTTTATGGCTGCATAGTATTCCATGGTGCATATGTGCCATGTTTTCTTAATCCAGTCTATCATTGATGGACATCTGGGTTGGTTCCAAGTCTTTGCTATTGTGAATAGTGCCACAATAAATATATGTGTGTGTGTGTCTTTATAGCACCATGATTTATAATCCTTTGGGTATATACCCAGTAATGGAATGGCTGGGTCAAATGGTATTTCTAGTTCTAGATCCTTGAGGAATCACCACACTCTCTTCCACAATGGTTGAACTGGTTTACAGTCCCACCAACAGTGTAAAAGTGTTCCTATTTCTCCACATCCTCTCCAGCACCTGTTGTTTCCTGACTTTTTAATGATTGCCATTCTAACTGGTGTGAGATGGTATCTCATTGTGGTTTTGATTTGCATTTCTCTGATGGCCAGTGATGATGAGCATTTTTCATGTGTCTGTTGGCTACAAAAATGTCTTCTTTTGAGAAGTGTCTGTTCATATCCTTTGCCCACTTTTTGATGGGGTTGTTTGATTTGTTTTTGAGAAAGGCTCTTTCTTTGTTGGTCAGGCTAGGGTGCAGTGGTATAATTATGGCTCACTACAGCCTCCAACTCCTGGGCTCAAGCGATCCTCCCACCTCAGCCTCCTGAGTAGCTGGAAGTACAGGCATGTGCCACCACTTCAGGCTAATTTTTTTATTTATGGTAGAGACAAGGCCTCACTGTGTTGCCCAGCCAGTCTCAAACTCCAGTGGTCAAGCGATCCTCCTACCTTGGCCTTTCAACATTCTGGGATTACAGGCATGAACCACCATGTCCAGCCTTAGACACACAATTTTTTTTTTTTTTTTGAGACAGAGTCTCACTCTTTCACCCAGGCTGGAGTGCAGTGGCATGATCTCGGCTCACTGCAACCTCCACCTCCCAGGTTCAAGCGATTCTCCTGTCCCAGCCTCCAGAGTAGCTAGGACTACAGGTGCATGCAACTACATCTGGCTAATTTTTTGTATTTTTAGTAGAGATGGGAAATATGTACCTATTTTAGATTCAAATATAACCTACTTTAGGCAGGTCCAGGTTAAACTAATTTTAGTGTTAGCCAGGATGGTCTTGATCTCCTGACCTTGTAATCCACCCCCCTCAGACTCCCAAAGTGCTGGGATTACAGGCGTGAGCCACCGCACCCGGCCAGATGCAAAACTTTTTAACAGTTTTAAATTTGGATAATATGTAAAAAATTTTAAAGAAATATTGAAAAACAGCAGAAGTGGCAAGAATGAGGCATATATTTTATATTTCGAGATTGACTGGAACTATTAACTTTTCTGTTCAGATCAGGCTAGCACTTTTAGGAAGGCCTCTGTTCCCACAATACCTTACTTTACTTAAACCTGGACCTACTTTAGGCAGGTCCAGGTTTAACTAAAATAATTTTAGTTTACCCATGTTTACCCATGGGTAATTTTACATTCACCATGTCGCCTGTTTTCTACCCCCAGGAAGCAGAGCAGAGATGTTTGATCTGCTTGGTCACATTTTACCTTGTGACTTCTGAAAAAGTAATCACCATGTAGATACCAATTTACTTTATATAAATTATTGCTAACCACTACATCTTTATATGTTAAATATTACTATTATTATTTCAATATGTAGAAACCTCTGAAAGAAATTAAGAAAACAAACTTTAATGAAAGTTACTGCTATTAAGTTAGAGAGCTGAGTTTCCCATTATATCACATAAACATGTATATAGCTTATTTTATTTTTATTGTTGACAAATTATAGGCAATGGATATTGGGATCACATAAAAAATACTTACATATGTAAGCATTTTTTCACATACTTACACAATCTGATGTATCAAAAATGTAATTTGGTATATTTATTTAGGATATTTTAGACTAGAGAACACACTGAAATACCTCTAGGAAAAATCAGCATTTGGAGAGGGCAGAGAAATATGTAGGACTCTCCAGCAATTGTCTCCTGACAGAAACAGCAGTTTCAACAACATCCATGCACAAAAAATACCTTCACAGGGACTCAGAAAGCCAGGTGAAAAATCATAGTATCTAGTTGTAGCATAATAATAAAAAGAGATACATTAAACAGCATAGGAAGGATAATTTTGCAATACCCATATCACTTCTTTTCCACCCCCAGGCAGCAGAGCATGGAGAGGTATACACTTGAGGAAGAGAGACGGGAGTAAACATAGGATTTTTTTCTTCAACCCCAAAACCATTACTGTCATAGTAAAACCTAATGCCAGGCAGACACCAAGCCAGTACCCAAGGACTGAACCCCCAGACTTACTCTGGTGCCAGGTAAGAACCTGTAACTACTACCAAGTGGATTTGATCTGCAATCCACATAACTGCTAGCCAAAAACAGTGGCCAAGGGCTCCAGACAAACTTTGCTAGCAAGCAGGCCTCAGTGTCTATGAGCTGTGGGTGTGCCCAAACACTGCACTGGCATTAGTGACCAAAGAATTCCAGCCTGGCACTGTACCAGCCACTATGGCCCTAGGCTTAGGATGCCGTCTAGTGATGCAATGGCTGTAGCAGTCATGAACTTAGGGACCATGCCAGACAGTTTTTCCAGAATCTCTGGACAGGTTTACTGTTAAGGAGCTTACCCAGACAAAGCCAGGCTGTAAAGAACAGAATCAAGTACCTACTTCTCCAATTCACAGACATCAGTGAAAAACCACAAGAATTAAGAAAAATAAAAACACATGATATCACCAAACAAACAAAGTAAGGTGTCAATGACCAATCTTAAGCAAATGGAGATGTACGAATTATGTAAAAAAGAATTTAAAATAGCTGTTTTAAGAAAGCTCAACAAACTTCAAGAAATACAGAGAAAAAATTCAACGCATGAGGAAAACAATAAGTGATCATATAAAAAATTAACACAGAAATTGAAATCATCAAAAAAAGAAATTTTGGAGCTAAAAATTACAAACAATTAAATGAAAACTACAATAACAATAGAATTGATCAAGCAAAAGAAAAATATGTGTACCTGAAGGCAGGCTATTTTTAATCATATAGGCAGAAAAAAAGAAAATAGAATAAATAAAGCTTATGGGATTTATGGAACAGCAAGAAAGGGCAAATTTTTTAGTTATTGTAATTCAAGAGAGAGTAGAGAAAGATAAAAGGATTAAAAGAGCATTTTCTAAAATAATAGCAAAAAACTTTCCTGGTGAAAGATCTAAATATTCAGATACATGGAGGTAAAAAATCTCCAATCAAATTCAATCCATATAAGATAACCCAAGATATAATATATTCAAATGGTCAACAATCAAAGACAAACAGAGGATCCTGAAAGCAGCAAGAAAAAAGAGGCAAGAAACGTAAAAGAGAGTCATAGTATGCCTAGAAGCAGACGTCTCAACAGAAATCTTACAGGACAGGAGAGAGAAATAATATATTCAATTTGCTGAAAGAAAAAAACCCGCCAACCAATAATATTGTACCAAGGAAAGGTGTCCTTTAGAAATTAAGGAGAAATAAATATTTTCCCAGACAAACAAAAGCTGATCATCACTAGCTCTGCTTTAAAAAAAAATGCTAAAGAATTACTTAAAGTGAAAGAGAAGGGTGCTAATGAGTAACATGAAAACAGCTAAAAGTGTAATTCTCTCAAAGTATAACTGCAGTCTGACTTTTTCTGGGAGTGCTCCTTAGCAGTAATTCTCACTAGTGTAAAGTAGTGAATTTGGAATACTTTAATATTGTAATGATGGTGTGTAAATTACTTATATTAATATACCAAGGTGTCTTGTTTTTGTTTTTTGTTTTTGTTTTTGCAATCAAAGTTTGATTGTTATTGCTTAAAATAACCTATTATAAGAGGTTTTTGAAAACCTCATGGTAGCCACAAAGCCAAAACCTACAATCAGAACACAAAAAATAAGAGGTGAGAAATCAAAATGTACTAGCAGAGAAAATTATTTAACCACAAAGGAAAACTCTATAAGAGGAAGAAAGAATCTACAAAATCACTAGAAATAACAAAGTGGCAGTAGTAAGTATTTACCCATTACTAATTACCTTGAATGTAGTAAATGGATTAAATAATCCAATCAAAAGACAGGGTGGTTGAATGAATAGAAACAAAACTTGTCTATATGCTACCAAGAAGAGACTCACTTCACCCATAAGGACACTCATAGACTGCAAATGAAGGAAAGAAAAAATACTACATGCAAATGCATAGAAAAAGAGAACACCAATAGTTATATCAGATAAAGTAGACTTTAAGTCAAAAATTATAAAAAGAGACAAAGAAAGTTATTATGAAGTCATGTAGTGATTAGTTCAGCAAGAAAATATAACAGCTGTAAGTATATTTGCATCTAATATTAAAGTATCTAAATATATAAAGCAACTGTTAATAAATCTGAAGGAAGAGATAAACTGCAATAAAATAATGTTTTAAATAATAATAATAAAGTAGAAGACTTTAATACCCCACTTTCACCAATGGACAGATAACAGACAAAAAATGAATAAGAAAACACTGGACTTAAGTACATTAGACCAAATGGACCATGCATCTAAAAGCTGCAGAATACACATTCTTCTCAACCGCACATGGAACATTCTCCAGAAGAGATGATACAGTAGGCCACAAAAAAAGTCTTAACAACTTTAAGAATATTTAAATCACATTAAGTATGTTTTCTGATCATTATGATATAAACCTAGAAAAAATAACAGGGGGAACTTTGGATTATTCACAAATACCTGAAAATTGAACCACATATGCCTGAACAGCCAATGGGTCAGTGAAGAAATTAAAAGAGAAATTTTAAAAATTCCTAAGAAAAATGAAAATGGGAACACAGCATACAAAAACCTATGGGATACAGCAAAAGCAGCTCTAAGATGAAGTTTATGGAAATAAATGCCTACATCTAAAAAGAAGAAAGATATCAAATAAACCATGTCACATCACACCTCAAGGAACTCAAAAAACAAGACAAAACTAAGCCCCCCAAAGAAGAAGGAATATAATAAATATCAGAACAGATATAAATGGAATAGAGACTAGGAAAACAATTCAGAATCAACAAAATGACAACTTGTTTTTTATAGAAGATAAAATAAACAAACTTTTAGCTAGATTACCTAAGAAAAACAGAAAGAAGGCTCAAATAGATAAAATCAGAGATAAAAAAGGAGATATTATAGCTGATACCACATAAATAACAAAGGACCATAGGAGACTATTATGAGAAATTATACACCAACAAATTGGATAACATAGAAGAAATAGATAAATTACTGGGCACATACTACCTACCATGTAGATACCAAGAATAAATTATGAAGAAATAAACAATCTGAACAGATCAATAATGAATAAGGAAATTGAATAAGTAATAAAAAGTCTTCCATCAAAGATAAGCCAAGGATCTGATGGCCTCACTGCTGAATTTTACCTAACATTTAATGAGACCTAATAACTAATTCTTCTCATAATGTTCCAGAAAATTGTAGAGGAGAAAATTCTTTCTAATTCATTCTATGAGGCCAGTATTATCCTGACACCAAAATCAGACAAAGAAACGACAAAAATTAAACCTACCGGTTAATATCGCTGATGATCATAGATGCAAAAATCCTCAACAACATATTAGCAAGCTGAAATTTTTATACTACCTAAAGCAATCTACAGATTCAATACAATCCCTAGCAAAATATCAATGACAGTCTTCACAAAAAAAACAAATTCTTGATATTTGTATGGAATCACAAAGGACCCTGAGCAACCAAAGCAATCTTGAGAAAAAAAGAACAAAGCTGGAAGCATAGCACTACTTGACATTAAAATATATTACAAAGCTATAGTAACCCAAGCAGCATGGTACTGGCGTAAAAACAGACACACAGACCAAAGGAACAGAATAGAGAGCCATGAAAAAAAATATCCATGTATTTACAGCCAACTGATTTTCAACAAGGCACCAAGAAAACACAGTGGGGAAAGAAGGGTCTCTAATAAATGATGTTGGGGTATTCACATCCAGAAAAATAGAATTATACCCTTATCTCTCATCATATTCAATGATCACTCAAAATGGATTAAAGACTTAAATGTAAAACTTGAAACTACGAAACTATTGGAAGAAAATATAGGGAAAACATTCATGACATTGGTTTATGCAATGATTTTTTTTGTATAGGACCTCAAAAGCATATGCAACAAACAAAAGCAAAAACAGACATATTGGATCATATCAAACTAAAAAGCCCAATAGCAAAGATCCAAATAACCTGATTAAAAATGGGCAAAAGACCAGAGTAGATATTTCTCAAAAGAAGACTACAAAGGGCCAACAGATATATAAAAAAAATCAAAATCACTAATTATAAGGCAAATGCAAATTGAAACCACAGTGAGATATCACTCCACACCTGACAGAATGACAATTATCCAAAAGATAAAAGATAAAGATATTGGCAAAGATGTGGAGGAAAAAAAAACACTTTTACACTGTTAGTGGCAAGGTAAACTGGTACAGACATTATGAAACACAATATAGAGGTTCCTCAAAGAATTAAAAATAGGACAAGCATATGATCCAGCAATCCCACTACTGGATGCATAGCCCAAGGAAATTAAGAGCTTCATGCCCTACCTACTGAGCTAGCCAGGCTTCTAGCCCAAGGAAATTAAATCAGATGTTGAAGAGATATCTGCACTCCCATGTTTACCCCAGCAATATTCCCAGTGGCCAAGATATGAAATCAACGTAAGTATTCATCAACAGATAAATAAAGAAAATGTAATATATGCACTCATTGGAATACTATTTAGATATAAAAGAGAAGAAAATTCTGTAATTTGTGACATCAATGAACCTGGAGAACATTATGCTAAATGAGGTAAGCTAAGCACTGGAAAACAAATACTTTATGATCTCATATTGGAATCTCAAAAAGGTGATCTCATAAAAGTAAAAAGTAGAATGGCAGTTGCTAGAGACTGATGCTGGTCAAAGGATACATAATTAGACTTACATAAAAGAAATAAGTTCAAGAGACCTATTGTAAAGTATGGTGACTATAGTTAATACATAATGCATTCTTGAGCATAGACATTAAGTGATCTTACGACAAAAAATAACTATGTGAGGTAATGCATTTGTTAATTAGCAACGTTTAACCATTCACTATATATATATACTCAGTAGGTAGGGCATGAAGCTCACATATATATATATATATATATATATATATATATATATATATATATGTATATATATATGTGTGTGTGTGTGTGTAATTGCAAACATTAAGGTACACATGATAAATACATACAATTTTATTTGTCAATTTAAAACAAATTTGAAAAAAATATACTGCTGCTCTAGATATTTTAAAACAATTTTCCAGCAGAAAGTAGGCAGAAGTCTGTTAATAAAAAGATTATATTATTACAACAAAAAACAAAAAAAAATAAAAAATTATCTTGAGCCATGCAGTTACCTGGCAGAGGTAAGCTATACAAACTGGAATATAGATAATCATTGTACATAATAACATCCTCATTTCTATCTATCATGTTCTAGATCAACCTGAGTGAAAACACTTCTTGGAATATGTCTTACAAAAATAAATGGAAAAACAATTTCTAATCATTATGACTTCCTAGAATTCAAATCCCTTATAGATATTTCAAACCACTGAATGACCACATCATGCAAGAGCAAGATTTAAATAGTGCTACGATAACCCACCTAAGGTCTCCCTCTGCTTAGACTTCTTATCTGCCATTTAGGAAATAAGGCAGTATTTTCATGTATCCCTGTTATTCTACATGCCTAATGATATTGTAAAACCTAATGATCTGCAAAATTTATTTAAAGAAATTTATGCCACTATACCTTAGAATTCTTTGAGAGATTGTTTTATAACTAACATAAGCTACTGATTTATCTCCATTTGGATGCTATGGATAGAATTAAGATTGAGAAAGAGACACTGAAAACGGTTAATTATGCTGTTCCATCTTATGATGTCAAAGCCTTCTTTTAAGGGCAAGGTCAATATAATGAAGTTTTTGGAAATCCAGGCCACTGTGTGTTTGATTTCTGACCTCCTAGATTACTTTTTTATCTGGTATCCACACAGCAAAACATTTATCTAACATAGTTGTTCTGAAGACTACAGACAGTATTTAAAACATATCCAGCACAGTGTCTGGGATGGAGCAGATACTTAGTAACTGCACCTATTTCTAAATTTCTCAATTACCAACAAGTTAAAGTATTTCTTTAACTCTCAGTTAACATCTGTCCATGTTCTAGTTTCCTTTCACATGAAAAATATAATGATGAAAATTGAAAAACTACAATAAATGATAAATGTATTTCAAATATTAACAGGCAATAATGTAATTATGAACTTATCATTTTAAAACATTTTTATAAAATGTTTCTAAAATTAATTTTATATATGCATAAAGATCATTTTATCCTATAAAAGTAAACAAATATCAGATATTTTATTAGAGTTATTTTAATAGAGTAAGAAATTAATAACAAGCAGATAATGCAAATCTCTGTATATGACATAACATAATGCCTATGTGTACACATTCTTTAGATTTGCATATTTATGGCTCACTGGCATATTTAAAACTGTGTGAAAAAATTGTTCTTTAAAAATAATTAATTTAAGATTTATAAGATATAATGAGCAAGATACTGAATAACATAACTTTAGTTTTCAGTTCTTTGTTTAATCACAGGAAAAGTTGAGCTGATATGTGGTCAGAAAATCCGTGGAGTTATATGTATCATACTATGAGAAATTGATTTATGTCAAAGAGATATGTCAAAGCAATCATGTAAAGTCTTTCATTACTTAAGATATCTGAAAGGAGGGGCACAGATGTTCAGTGACTTGCTAAGCTTCAGTAGCCAGTCCCATGTCAAGTTAGGACTAGTAGGACCATAGATGCACCCACACAGTATTACTTCTACCTGCTACTTCTTGACATACTGCATTTTTGGCTCACCTGGAAACTAATCTGCAAATGAGTCTGTTCTATTTTGCATTTCTAGTAATTGTTCTCCAAAAGGTTGAAGAATTGTAAATAATATGGCCTGGTAGATTACACCTGTTGTGTGTATCAACATATCTTCATGTCTAGAACAGTGCCTGGCATGTGGTAGCAATTATTTATTGAATAAGCAAATTGATAAATAAATTAACCAATTCTACATAGGACCAATATTCCTACTAATTTACTATTCCTGAAAATACCTTTTATATTTTAGAAACCGATATTGTATATTATTTTCTATTAATAAATTTTATCTTAAAAATGTATTAAAGTAAAAAACTTGTCATATTCATATCCATGTTTCTCAAATGAATCTGCTTTTACCCATCATTTGTATTTCCCACTTATCTGTGATTATAAATTAAAACAGAGTTAATGAGGAAATGTGTGATTTTAGGGAGTTAAATTATTATTGATTTGCTACATACCTGTTTTATAGGACTCAGTAAATATGAAGTTCTTCATCTTTACTTGTCTTTTGGCTATTGCTCTTGCAAAGCATGTAAGTATAATGAAACATTTACAAGTATCTATTCTAATTTAAATATAAGGGTAAATATTTTATGCAAATGAAGGCAGGGGTGGGCAGCAAGGAACAGAAATTAAGTGTGTGAACTTATAAAACTATAATCAAAGACAGCATTGGCCCTACCTTATACAAGATATGAAAGTGGACACACTTTGTATGATGTATTCTTGTAGTTCTGTGGAGATTTTTTACTTGTGGGTTAAAAGGCCTATACTTCCATCTCTGTCTGTTTGCATTCACCAGGGAACTGTTTTCACTCCCGTGGCATATCTCTTTGAAAGCGCAGAAAAGCCACAGATAAAATGTAGACTCCAAAACCATCTCTCAAATAAGTGATAGAGTTTCACCATTCTTGATTACATTAGTTCAGAGCTAGGAAGATCAGACAGGAAACAAGGGTGACTTTGTAAATTACTTGCAAAAATAACCTAATGCAAAACAATTCCTCAGCTTCTCAAAGCATTATATTTTTCTTGAGAGAATATAGTACTAATATTCATATAAAAAATGATAAGGATGGCAATATTACTTTGAGTGAATTACTTTGAAAACACACACACACACACACGCACGCACACATTTACTCTATTCACTTCCTCAGAAGTAACTCATTTTTTCTTTTTTTTTTTGCCTTACCCTGCAGCTGGCACCATCCATACCTTTCCCATACCCAGTATCTTACTTCTCATAAGCACACCATTTCTTTAGGGTGATCAGAGTTCTTTGCTTCATCTATGTCTCCATATCGCTCACATAAATCTTGACAAGTTTTTGTTATTTCTTAAATTTAGAGCCAATTTAAGGGCAAAGCTAGATAAGAATTCTAGTTAGGTAAATAAAAAAATAATAATAGTACTTTGGCAATCTCACACCCACCAAGATTGATTGTTCTTATGATCTACTCTGACTTTGTTCCCTTTCTCTCTAGTCAATAATTGCCTTTGATCTTTTATTTAAATAAAACAATTTTATTCAACTAAGAATATGGTGGCTGCACTAGCAAGTGACAGACCACAGATATTAAAAGCTAAATTTGTCACAATCTATTGAGAACATAAGTACAAAATTGAGTTTGTATGACAGTTTTTCATATTTTAAAAATTAATCTTCAACTTTTTATGCCACTTGACAGAAGCACTCGCCCAATATTTTTAATTCTAACAGTATAAGTGAAGTAAAATAAAATATTACACCAGAGTCTTAACACTTTAAGATTTGGTGGTACATTTATGAATATAATTATATTTTAAATGGTGAAACAGTTAATACTCAAAAGCTAAGAACCCACCTACTTCCTAAAAGAAATATATTAAACCATGACAAGAATTCACTTGAGGTATACAGTGATTTGCTCATTAACATTATAGGAAACCAAGAGAATTTTGCAAAGAAACTCTATGCAACTAAAAGTTCCTAGAATCAGATGACTAAAATTCCCTTGCCACCAAGAAACAAAAGAAACAAAATGGAAAGACAGTTTTACATTTTAAATAAGCGATAAAAGTGAAACTTGAATTACTTTTTGTTTTTTATATAGAATATGGAGCATCACTCCTCCAGCGAGGTAAGACACTTTAATTCTTCCACCTAGTAAACACGTGATATGTCCTAAACTAAGTCTTTATATGTGTTAAGACCAAAAATGTACACATTCAAATTAACCAGATTAAATTTGTGCATTTTTTCCTCTGAATAGTTCCTAATGTTAAAGATATTAGCTCAGAAGCTATGGTGAATATTCTACATCTTGGGAGAAGAGTGACAGGAATTCATTCTACATTTCTGAAATAAGAACTCATATTCATCTGGGTCCATATTAAATGTTAATTTCCAAATGATTTTTCTGGGCAGGGGTGCATAAAAGACACACACACATTTTTACTGTTGCCCAAAGGCTTTTTTTTTTCTGCAATGTGTTTAACCCCTTTAAAAAGCAGAGGAAAATTCAAAATTATGTAGAAGAAATATAAAAATTTCTTTTCTTCTTTGTGGTTCATATTTGGGAAAGTTTTGTTACAGTTATTAATAAACCAAAACACAATATCAAAATGTTAGCTATCTAAAATATGATAAATTAGTTGTGTGGGGAGTGAAACTTTTGTCAACTTAATCCTATAGTTCAGAATAATATAAATATATTATTTACCACTGGATGTTGAGTGTAAATTGACAACTTATAGCTAGTACAAATATAATTTAGGTAAGTAACTATTGTTTTTTCCTTTTTTAAGTAATCTGTCAGCATCTCCCAGGAAGTAAGTCCTAACTCCTTAAATTAAATATATTTTAACTTTTTTATTTAATGAAGGTTATATAAGACTTTTATTTAGTTTGTAGAAATTTAAGCAGGTCAAGAATATAGTCATTTTTCCCAATGAGGTAAAATGTAATTATTTCATTATATTAATTTTTGATAACTTATCTTTTTCCATCAAACGTAGGTCATTTTCTCACCCAAAAATGAGTATGTTAGCTATGATTGTTAAAATGGTGATGTTTTCATTGATTTGCCAAAATGCAGTGGAGCAATATGAAAAAGGTCTTAGTAAAAGATTTGTTAGTTCTATTATTAAAACAGATATCTTTGAAATAATTTCTTCTTAATGGTTCATCACATTTACCTCTCCAACTCTGCATTCTTTTGTTTACAATGTTGTGTTTCCTTTGCTATCCATTTATGTGAAATTACATTATACTGCATTTCAGTACATTATACATTCCCTCTTCATTTTCTTTTCTTTTCAGAAGGACAATTGTTCTACTTCCTGTAAGGTATATATTGATAGCAGATCTATAGCAGAATGTGAAATAAAAATATTGTCATACTTTGAGCCAAATTGAAATTAACCTGGATTTTTAAAATATTCCAAAGCAATCAAATTTGAAAACCAAAACTATTTATAAAGAATGAGACAAAGTTATCTTCTCTTTTTAAAATTCTGTGAATAATTCAGCCGAAAAATATTTTTTTTGCATAAATCAACTAATATACTTAATTCTAAGATCTCGTGAGGAGTGGAGAACTTGTCACTTAGTGGTCTTCATTCCTAAAAATTCCCAAATTTTCATTATCGTTCTTAAAAAATTAATTTGCTATTTAGATTGATATGCATTTTTTCCTAAAATTGTCTCATTTAAATTTAAATCAATATTTTCATAATAGAAACATTATATATGCATTACCAAAAACACATTAGTTTGCCTGGAGATATATTTTTTCTAATAAATCATGATGAGTAAAATGAAGTTTGTCAATGCAATGCCTAAATTATTATAATAGTGTGTTTATTCATTTATTAGACAAACATGTATTGGAGAAGACTATCTTAGACTCGAGGCATACTCTGAATACAGCAGGCAAAATCCTCCTCTCATTTTTCTCACATTCCAATTTACCACTGCTTGTATATTTATTACTAAATGGGAAAGTCTAATATAATTTATACAAAACTTATATAATGAAAATGAATCTATTGTCATGATTCTCTTTATGGGAAAGAAAATTTTCCCTTTATGTTCTGGATAAAATACTTTATAAACAAAGCTGTGGAGAAAATAAGTCTGATTATTTTTCTTCTGTATTTAAGGAAACCACAAAAAACATGAATGAAATGGTGAGAAATTTTTATTTTCTTAAACAATTTTTGTTCACATTCTTAACATGTAATATTACAATATCAATGGCATGTGGAAATATCTGTAAATTTCCTCTCTTAGTAAACTAAAAAGAGATGTATAAATTTATTTAAAATAACAATTTCTCCCTTCCCACTTTAATAGTATTCACCTAAATTGCTCTATATTCTCTTGAGACATTTCCATTCAAGGATAAGGTGATTTTTATCTCTTTTGCTTGTTTTCCAAAGGTAATCAATGATGAACAGTTGAGAAACCTATTGTGTTGTTTTTATTTCAATACTTTTAATCTACCGTACTAATGATTACGTAGGTAATTTGAGGCCTATCTAAAACAACCTCTATCATTAAAGAAATAATGCTGGGGATTTCTTATGGTCACTAAATTTTTATTATTATTATTATTTCTCAAGCAATCTTCTAGCAGCTCTTCTAGTGAGGTAAGAGCTATTTTCTTTTAACATCAAAAAGCAGGTTCACCAAGACGTGGCAGATTTTTAGCAATTAGATTGTTCATCAAATTGTAACCCAAACTCAATGGTATTTGAGGGAGATTGAAACTGACTATCCGAACATTGGTTTCCCGTTTTGTGCTTTTTGACAGTGTGTATCAAACATCTGATTTCAGAGAAAATTGCATTTTAAAGGAAGCCAGGGTTAAATCAAGAGGCTGCCATTTGCCTTCAGCATAGTTTTATCCTGAAAAACCTCTCAATATCTCTTAGAGCGGTGGTTCTGAAAGTGTTGCCCCTCAGCTAGCAGCAACAACATTATATTCTGGTGCACTTTAAAATTTGAGATTCTTTTGTTTTTAAAAATAAGAGGCTGAATAAGGGATTCGATTATGAGTTGTGTATATCACTGACACAAGAACACCTGCCATGGTAGAAATACCCAAACAATAAACATGATGGGAAAAAGTATCTGGGAAAGGAAGAAGCATGGTGGCACCACAAACCTTGTGGCCTTAGGTGAAGCCTACACTCTTCCTAGTCAGGGACTAGGAAACATGCTTTACTCTTCTTCCAAGCTTCAAGTATCATCTTCAATTGGAGAGTTAACAGTCGCTTAAAGATAACATTTGTGTCCTCTAGAAAGGGTATGTGGGACTTGGTTTGCCACATACCTCACCAGGCCTGTGTCATAATATTTTGTGTCACTTGTCACCTTCTGTAGGCATTTGATATTGTATGAATAATAAAAAATTTATGAAAATTTAAAATAAAACATTTTTATTCATGTGCTATTTTGATAATGATGACTCTGATTATAAATGTTTTAATTTTTTAATTAATTTATTAAATTCCTAATAAATGACATAATTTTTGAGTAGTAGTGGCTTGGGCCCTGAGTATTTAATTAATTACCCCTAATATTCTAGCATGACTCCGAAGCTTAATCATGCAAGTAATGTTAATTCTTCTTTTCTTCCCCTAAAAGGAATCTGCAGAAGTTTCCACAGAGGTAATTTTCATTCAAATAAAATAAAATTAATACCACTTAGTAGTGTTTTATTTTTGTATATTTGTATACAAATTAATTTTTTTTCTTACCAGGAAGTTAAGCACACTGTGGATCAAAAGCACTACGTAAAACAACTGGTAAATTTCTCATATAAATTATGATTTCAAGTAAAACATCTTATTTTGGCTGTTTCTTCTCTCAAATATTCACACAATTCATTATATCCCATTAAGAAATTTATCGGCCGGCGCGGTGGCTCACGCCTGTAATCCCAGCACTTTGGGAGGGCGAGGCGGGTGGTTCACCAGGTCAAGAGATCGAGACCGTCCTGGCCAACATCGTGAAACCCCGTCTCTACTAAAAATACAAAAGTTAGCTGGGCGTGGTGGCGCGTGCCTGTAATCCCAGCTACTCAGGAGGCTGAGGCAGGAGAATCGCTTGAACCCGGGAGGCGGACGTTGCAGTGAGCCGAGATCAGGCCACTGCATTCTACCCTGGCGACCGAGCAAGACTCCGTCTCAAAAAAAAAAAAAAAAGAAAAAAAAAAAAAGAAAGAAATTTATCCCCAATTTGTAGGAGCCTATTTTTGCTATTTTTGTTGCTCTGATTTCTGGCTATTATTTTTGTCAAATCAGTCTGGATTTATATTTTAAGAAAAATGAGTATTGAGAAATTATCCACTGATTTTGGAGGAGTTACAAATTTCAGAAAGTTTGTTGCAAGTTTAAATTACCTGTTAGATACCAATGCAGTTAAAGTATCACATTATTACGCACTCAACTTCTCTTTGACGACGGGATCTTAGATGATTATCTGAAGTGTAAACATTCTCAGGCTACGGGAGGTCATATAATCTAGGGGGTCCCCAAACCACAGGGGGTACCGGTACCGGTCCTTGGCCTGTTAGGAACCACGCAGGACAGCAGGAGGTGAGCTGCAAGCAAGCTAGCACTAGCCTGAGCTCCGCCTCTGTCAGATCAGCGGTGGCGTTAGATTCTCAGGAGAGCGAATTGTATTGTGAACTGCGCATGTGAGGGATCTGGGTTGTGTGCTCCTTATGAGAATCTTTCTAATGCCTGATGATCTGAGGTAGAACAGTTTTATCCCGAAACCATACCCCCGCCCTCATCCGTGGAAAAATTGTCTTCCACAAAACCAGTCCTTGATGTCCAAAAGTTGGGGACTCCTGATGTAATCCATCGTCTGCGGATTAGAGAAGTTTGCTTCCTGTGTAGGGAAAGCGCATGGATTTTGGTGTCAGGCAACTTGTATTCCAACTCCAGCTACACGAGTTACTACTTAACCTCTCCAAGCTCCAGTTTCCTTAACTGAAAATACGGAGAGCTGCATTAACCCTGCAAGATTGTATTAGATGATATACATTTAATTTATACAAAAATTGCTTGGAACACAGTAAATTCATCTAAAAATTTGGCAATTATCTTATTTCAACACAGAGCAGACATGCTTTCTAAAACCTTTATAATAGAAACACCTGTTTTGAACACTTAAAAATGGAATGCTCCAAATAAAACCTGTCTTTTTAGGAATTTAGATCGTTACTAACTTCCACGTTGCTATAAATATCTTTCTTACATTTTGTCAAAATACTTCCAGCAACATTCTCATTTTGTACCTCTCTTAACGTAACCATGGATTCATCCAACAATTCTAAAGACCCGTTGACTTTCTACACACACTTATTTTTCACTCTCTATTAAATGAAAATTCTCCTGAGGAAAAAATGCTTTGTGGTTTTATATTTAATCCCTAAAAATAATCTTTGCAAAATCAGTTCAAAGACGCCGGAGCTTACTAGAACACTTAGTTACTAGGCAAACTTCTCTTTATAGTTTAACAGATATAATCCCACATGATAAGTAATGCTCAAACAGTTTAAGCAATTTAATCAGGGTCGTGGATTCCAGTGCCCTGGGTAAAGAGAATGAAAGTTCATTTCTGACTCCAAAGACAAGACTAACTTCCAACACACATGGAAAAGGAATAAGTTGAGACATGTACCTTGTGATTGTTTTCTTTTCTTTTTCTTTCTTAAACATACTTTTCTTCCCCACATAGATAATTTTCTCCCGTGGTCTTACTTAATTTGATAATTTTTAAATTCTGCAACAGTTAAGGTAATTTTTATGTATGTAAACTATTCTTTTTCTAAGCAAATTTGCCACCAATTATAAATTTTCTAATTAAAGTTCTAATTCATTCAGTTTTGCTAACATTTGCTTTGACTCATGAAGGATATAAAATGTTGGAATAAATATTCATAATTTCCTTTCTCTCTAGAACAAAATCAACCCATTTTATCAGAAGTGGAACTTCCTCCCATTTCTTCAGGTTCCTTATCAACATCAGATTTTTATAAACCCAGGAGATCAGCATAAGACAAGTGTCTACCCCTTTGTTCCCACTTAGTAAGTTTTGCATTTTTAAGAGGCGAGGGGTACAGGATAAAAATATATACAGTGGCCAGGCTCAGTGGCTCAGGCCTGTAATCCCAGCACTTTGGGAGGCCAAGGCAGGAGGATCACCTGAGGACGGGAGTTCGGGACCATCCTGGCCAACATGGTGAAACCCTGTCTCTACTAAAAATATAAAGATTAGCTGAGGGTGGTGGTGCGTGCCTGTAATCCCAGCCACTTGGAAGACTAAGCCAGGAGAATCACCTGAACCAGGGGGTTGGAGGTTGCAGTGAGCCAAGATCTGCCACTGCACTCCAGCCTGGCAACAGAGCGAGACTCCCTCTCAAAAAAAAATACAGTAACTCGAGGCAAAATACACCCAAAAGTTCTAACTTTAAAATAGGGCAGTCCAAATACAATAACAAATAACAATAGTAGCAATAGTGACAAATAAGTACTAATTTAATTTAAATTTAACATACATGTCCTAAGTGTTTGCTCATATATCATTTCACTTGGTCCTTCAAATAATTCTTTCATGTAGGGGGGAGGATAGAAATCAGTACCTTCATTTAACAAAGGAAATGTAATATGGGGAAATGTAAGGAAGTACTTGCTCAAACGCCAAGTAACCATTTCCATTTTGTTTCATAAAATGAATTTGTTTTAGGGAACTTTTTCTAATATGAGCAATAAATAACACAAGTTCTCCTCAGCCTTTTGATCAAATCATAAAATTAAAGGTTTTTTGTCTTGTTACAGGACCAGTAAATATAGCCACCCAATAAAAAGCCTAGTTTGATTTCCCTTATTTCATCTCCGGGAATAATTAAAAGTCCAAAGAAAGGGAAAAATAAAAATTTTATAAGTAATTAAACATACTATTTATATTTTTTAAGGAAAACTGCCGGCATCTCTCAGAAAGTAAGTACAAACCACTTATATTAAATATATTTAAAGAACTACTTTTTATTTATCTATTATGACTTGCTTTTTATTTATAACAATGTATTATTTATTTTGTGGAAATATAAGGAGAAAAAGGATGTAGTTATACATACCAGTCAGGTAAAATGTATTTATGTATTTACTGGTTCATTGATGAAATATATCTTAGATGCATGTGCATTATTTTTTTACCAATCTTATTCCTTATAAGTATCTTTTTAAATAAGTATGAAAGAGGTAATGAATGGATGTCAAGAGGGTCCCAAGAAAATATACTTGTGTGCCATTTGTGAAGCACATTGTCAAAGTTAGATATTCTTGAAAAGATTTCTTGTTAGTTTTCCATCACCTTTCTATCACCAATTGGTTGCAAGTTTGTCATCAAATGCTGGACTGGCACTATATTCTTCTTGAATCAGTAGATACATTTTTTTTTTATTTCTTTCCAAGAATAAAGCCCCTCACTCCAAACCTATGAGGACCCTCACTCCAAAACCTAAAAGATGAAACAATTTAATGACACTGTATTTGAGAAAACCAATAGTCAAGCACATTTGGAAACAGTATATAATATCAACTCATATAATAAATAACATGATTTTCTGTATTCTTTAAATTTATTTACTATATTAACTTAAATTTGTCACTGCTAATATAGATTATTATTTCATTGTTAGAATATAAATTAAAAATATTCTGTATATAAAAAATATGACAGTTTTAGTTTGGCATAAAGATTCTGCTATTTACATAGGGAAGCCCTGCAGAGTTAATTGGTTAACAGACCTGGGACAGTGTTCCTATACCAATGAACAGACACCAAACGTGCTATCATCTTTCTCTACCTCCCTTCCTTTTTGCCCCATTGATATAGGAAAGCTAGTTTCCGTTTTCATATTAGCCTGTAATTTCTAAGGGAAAGTAGTAGATCTTAATTTGATGCTAATGGAGAGTTTGATAAATAGGAAATAGGAAAATTTCACTGTTTTGTAAACATCTGCATTTTTCTTAAAGAAAGAATTATTGAATTTATCTAAGTTTTATAGGGATGTTTGAACACATAAAAATTTAAAAACACTTACTGAGATATATCCTCACTATCAGAATTAAGATATTTTACACTTTTGCCAATAATATGGAAGCATAGCAGATGATGTGTATGTGAGAGTATATGCATCTATATGCATAAGTACATTTATATATCTTTCTTAGAATACTTATTTTACACTGACTTTTCCCTTATGCTACAGTACTGATGATCACCAAAAAATTGAAAACATAGGAAACCGGTGATAATGAAAGCAAACAACTACTTTTGTCATAATTTTATGAATAATCAAGTAAAGGAGGTTTAAACTTGCATGAATCAACTAACCAAACTAAATTTGCCAGTTCCCATGAGAAATGGAAGCTTAATCAGTTAGTGGTTTTCATTCTTTCTTAAAATTTTTTCAGTTAATTCCACTGTATACATCTTCATTGATACATCTTCATAGTTTCCTATTGATAAATGTTGTTTCTATTTTTTAAATTATAAAAATAACATACTAATATTCTTATAATAACTTATTTTATACATATATGAATATATTAATAGGAAAAATTCCTAAAAGTGAAATTTTTTAGTTAGAGGATATGTACATGAAATTTTTATAATATTTTTATCACAAACTTTAATACCATAAATTAATATGTAACACATATGTAACTACAAATTATGAGTATCATAATTAATACTTATAGTTCTATATTTTATAACAGTTTTATTTCATACATATATGATCCTAAACACTATTTAATTTTGTGTGTGTTTATTTCTCTTTAGAACATTCATTTTAGACAATAACATTACTTTTAATAAGGTTAATATATTAAGTAATAAATTGCTTTTACCACACAGTAAGTTCTCATAGTTAATGTTAGACTCTGAATATGACAAGATGATATCGGAAAGATCCTAAGGGACTTATTTCCTATTGAAAATCTCCTTCAAGTAACTCATATTAGCATTTAGATTGGGCTTCATTTCTTTTAAAAAGCATACAAACCCTGAATTTCAAAGTAGTTTCTCTATGTAGTTTGGTTTGTTTTTAAGATTTACAAGGACTAGCATACTTTATGTAGCCTCTTTGGTGTTGCATTTTTCACTCAACAGATTTCTAGCACATTTATCCATATTGTCACTTTATCCATATTGTTACAGCAGGTATAATCTACCTATTTACACTGCTAATGATATTCCACAATTCAGTCTTCTATTGCCCTATACTTAGAAGGCATTTGGGTTGTTTAGGTTTAGTATATTTATTTTTAGTTTTGGTAGGTATTTTCAAACTATTTTTCTTTGAGGTGAAATAAAATTTTTTTCCAACCACTAATAAATGGGAATTTACAGTAGCTTTTTGCCCGAGTGGTTGGCATTTCTGATGCAACACTCTACATCTCGAAGCAGTTTTAGAAACTCATTCATGGGCATTATGCAAGAGAGACCAGAAGGAGACCTCTGCTCCAGGCAGGCCTCAATGGGAGCAGTGACAACCCAAGACCACCCCATCAGACAATGCCAATCTGGGAAGTTTATAGATAGCTGATAGATTTATTTTATAACCTGGCAAGATCTCCACAGCGTGATTTTTCATCTTGGATAGTTTTCTGAGTTTGTTACAGGGGCAGTTGAAGAGATGTTTCTGCCTCTGAAGGTATTCATTGTGACACAGAGAAAAAAAATAAAGTCAGACTTGACACTGAGGTTAAGAAGCAAGGAGGAGGTCAGGTCCTAAAAGGAAATCTTGCCTGTGATCAGCAAAGAGGCAGCAAGGTATCTGAGACAGCCCTCGCCCTACCCTTGGACAGAGAGGGAATTTCACGTAGGAGGGGAGGAAAAGAGAGATCGGAGTCCAGATATGTTGTTAATGATCCTCCAAAGGGCATTGCTTCTCTGAATCCAGATCCTCTCTGGGAAGGGAATCTTCTAAATTAGTTTTTTGCTTTCCTGCAAGTTTTCATTCTTGTAAACTTTTAAACTTTTCAATTTGTTTTTTCCCCTTACCTGTTCTCCATCCAAGCTATTATTTATATAATATTTTTCCTGAAATTATGCTTTTTAAAAACTTGTTATTGCTAATAATAAGAAATGTTAGGCCGGGCACGGTGGCTCACGCACTTTGGGAGGCCAAGGCGGGTGGATCACCTGATGTCGGGAGTTCGAGACTAGCCTGGCCAATATGGTGAAACCCCATCTCTACTAAAAAAATACAAAAATTAGCCAGGTATGGTGGCAGGTGCCTGTAATCCAAACTACTCGGGAGGCTGAAGCAAGAGAATCACTTGAACCCAGGAGGCAATGTTTGCAGTGAGCCAAGAGAGTACGGTTGCACTCCAGCCTGGGTGACAAGAGAGAGACTCTGTCTCAAAAATTAAAAAAAATAAAAATAAAAATAAAAGGAATGTTATATATACTTCACTCAACTCACAAGTTTGATTATATATATATATATGTTTTAAATAAACATGCAATTATTAAAATTATTTAAATGAGTTGCCTAAAAGCATGTGCTTTCTCAATTACTCTTGTGAAATATTCATTCATTCAATTATTTATTTAAGAAATATTGTATTTAGCAAATACTATGTCCCTTACATGTTTCCACATCTTAGAGATAAAAAAGTGATTAAAAGAAGCATTACAGATAAATTTATTTTTATTCTTCTTCTTTATAAAACAGTAGTTTTTCTCTATACATCTAAGAGGCAATTGTGTATAATCAATACACTGAGAACAATGTGTCTAATTCTTGTTTTATTCCTTTAAGGAAACACCAAAAAAGACTGTTGATATGGTAAAGTATTGTTTCTATATGAAGCTGTATTTGACTCAAATTTCTAAAAACTAAACATTAAAATATTAATATTCCTGAAATTCTCTTTTAGTAAAATTGAATGATATTTTAGTTTACTTAAAAATCCTCTTTACTCCTTAACTGTGATTTTCTCAATTGACCTTAATTTTTTTCAGTCAAGACCTTCCAGGTTAGCAAGATCTCTCCACATAGCCTAAGTATTCTATGTTTTTTGCTGCTTCTTTCTTTTTTTAAAAAACAGATTTCTACCATTTTTTGAACTGAGAATTTTATTGCAATAAATCTTTTTCACCTGTCATAATAATACCTTTGTTGTAATATAAAAAAGATCTTTTGTCCACAAATATTAAGAATATACTGCTAAGTATTCAATTGCCCTGATTCTAAAATTTTGATTATTATACTTTTTATTTCTCAAATAATGTTCTAGTAAGTTATCTCTGGTGAGGAAAATGATAATTTTAAAATCAAACAATTAATGAATTCATTGAGAAATACTCTGTTTCTTGCTGTTGACTAATTATTTTAAGTAAATTAGGTGTTATGCTATTGACATATCGAATGGAAATAAAGGAAAACCCTTGTAAAAAATACACAGTCTCAAAGTCATTTTAGAGGTCTGGAATGAACCATCTACATGGTCAAGAAGTAGCTGTTCTATCACACACTTTCGGATAATATATGTCTGAACTCTGTTACATTGGAAAAATGAATTTTTAAAATAAGCCAGCCAAATCAGGATTCTGTCAGTTGCCTTCACTGTAGTTTAATATCGTTTAGGAGTTGAATACTGGACTGGGTTATAAGTTATGTAAATCACAGGTTCAGGGAACACCCACTGTGGGAGAAAGTGCCAAGTGGGAGAGCACAATTGGAAAGGGTCTTCAGAATATGAAGTATAAATTGTGGCACAGGATCTTGTGGCCTAGGGCCCAAAGCAAGCAAGATCTTCCTTCTTAGTGCCTTGAGAAGCATGTTTTACCCTTTCTCTCCACCTCAAACTGTGGGCCTATGGACACTAATATAAAAAACATTGGTCCTCCAAGAAAGAACATGCAGACTTTGCCACACACCTCAGTAGGCTTAATTATTTTTCCTCTCTCTCTCTCTGTCTCTCTCTCTCTCTCTTTTGCATCTGCCCATAGTACACAGAAATTTGACATTATATGAACATGTAGGTAAATGGAAAATATGAAATAAAATGTATTTTCAGTCAGGTACCATTATGTTGACACAGGACATGTCCTTTTAATGAATACTTACATTCATTTAATTCAGAATAGATTTCTATAAAGTAGGACTTTGTTTCTTGGTAGTAACAGCTTGGCCCTGAATTATTAAAATAATTAGCCTTAATTCTATATTATTATGATATGGACAAAAATTACTATTGGGTTATCCAAGTGAGGTTATTTTTTCATTTTCTTTCCCTAAGGAATCAACTGAAGTATTCACCAAGGTAAGTAAGTTTTGTTCAAACAAAATTAATAAAATATAATCTCAAAACATTTTCTTCTGTATTTTATGACCATTTATTTTTGTTATTAACAGAAAACTGAGCTGACTGAAGAAGAAAAGAATGACCAAAAACATCTGGTAAATTTTCCATACAAACATAGCACAATTAGACTTTACTTGGAAACTGCCTAGTTGCAATCCTCTTGACAAAAAAAAAAAAATACTATGTTTACCAAGTTCTAATTTTTATAAAAGCCTTCCTTATAGTTTTAAAAATGGTTACAGAATGATTCCCCAACTGTACCACTTATATTATTGCTAAGTATCCACCCAACAATTATTCCATGGCAATTGTAAAATTCCATTGATTTTCCACTTTGTAAAAATGAGAACTTAGCTTAAAAGAAGATGCCACTGTATTTAATTCCAATTTAAATCCCTACAATAATCTGTGGCTAAATCTATATAGATAAATAGAACATAGAAGAGGGGCATATGTACTCATAATAAAGTATATGGGATGCATTATACAAATAAAGTGCTCTTTCCATATTAATTCATTTACTTCTACAAGATAAATAACACTCAGAGAGATTAACTGGCTCAGTGTCATAGATTCCACTAAGTTAAATCACATATTCTATATGACTCTGAGGACCAGCGTTTTCCTACCAGAAACAGAAAATAAACCACAACTGGGGACACTTATCTTAGTCAAGAAATTATCTTCTTGCCTTCTTACATGTATTTTTAATTTTATTTTTCCTTGTTTTTGATTTCTTTCACACAAGCACTGTGGCTTTGGGGTCTGAATTAACCAAATAATTTTCTTACTTCTACAGTTAATTCTGTAAATGTAAGCATAGAGTTAATTTTGTATGAATAAATTTTCCTTTAATTAAGTTCATTTGGTAAAATGTAGAATTTATCCAAATAGAGTTTTGATTTATTTGGTTATGTTCAGGTCTCTCTGATTCTGGGATATTGAGATAATTCTTTATATATTTTTCTAGAACAAAATCAACCAGTATTATCAGTTCACCTTGCCCCAATATGTAAAAGCTGTTTATCAATATCACAAAATTATGAAACCATGGAAAAACATGAAGACAAATGCTTACCAAGTTATCCCCACTCTGGTGAGTGCTCTCTTTTTATTTGCAACTTAAAAATAGTTATCTGTTGTGCTAAAAGTAAGCTAGGGGGATGAAACTGACATAATCCCAATAAACTCAAGTAGAAGTTGAAACAAATAAAAATGCCTAAGCTAAAAATTAAATAATAAATCATATGCAAATACAGCATAATAAATAAAAATAATAATGTTACAAAAGTAGATGAAATTGTAAAAAGTAGCTGGACCAAGTTCTAGTTAACATTTATCCTTTATCTTATTTAAAAAAAAAAAAAGAGATTTGACCTAGGGAACATTTCTTCTAACATGAAGAATGAATGAGAGAACAGGACATTGAACCCACAGAACTAAAATGTATTATAAACAACATGGGTTTTGGAATCAGAAGACCTAATATAAATAGGCTTTTGAACATAGGCAAGTCACATCATTTCTCTGGAATTTTTTAATATGATTTAGTTTTTTAGATATGCATGTAGCATTTAAAAGTGTCTTCCATATAATTTTAGAAAAATCAGAATTTAGTACCTCTGATTTGCATATGAGATGGAGATTTGTTCCTATACATTTTTTAAATAAAATTATTCATTTTTTTCTCTTTTCTCTTCAAACAGGGATCTTTAAGATTCTTGAATTAACTGCTCCTACTTTACTTTGGTAAGTGCCTTTCCCCCTAGAATTTAAGCAATAACTTTTATGTGAAGAAAGTGATATTAAATAATATTATTAAGTAATATACTTCCAACTTTAATTAAATCATATTTTCATTTATAAAGTGTTTTAAATTTTGCTTTCATCTTTTTGACTCACAAATGTAAGTTGTCTGTGTAATTTGCATGCATATTTCATAAATATTTTAAATATAAATTATAGTACATTTCCTCCAAAGCTAATGATACATTCAAGCCAGAAGGAATGACTCTGAGTGAAAATTGTCACAGGCATAGTGTTCACACAGGTGATTTCCTGTCATCTTTGAGTTGTGCCAAGAAATTCAGACCTGGCTCTTTGGTTTGAGAAAAGATATATAATATCAAGAGAGTTTCATACACAATTCAAGCCATTTAAGACAAATTTCCTGCATCATTTTCTCTGGAAAAATTAATGTTTTCTACAAAAAAAAATTGCTTATTTTTTAAATTTCTCTCTTTGACAATTTATTCAATGGATTCAGAACCATGGTGGCAACTCAAGAAAATTGTAATGCCCTTTGTGTAGTCATGTTTTATTTTTCTTATTTTGCTCTTACAGCATTCAGGTTTATCTCCTATCCTAGAATTCTGTCTCATTTAATTCAAACGTTTTGCTCTTTTTATATGTCCCAAACGCAAATTTCTAACGTGACAAAGTAGGTTTCAAAACAATGAATAATAATAGTAATAATAATTTATCAAGAGCATATAGTGCACCAATTACAATTCTAAGCCCTTGCCTGTATTGACTAATTTAATGTTCACAAAAAACCTATGAAGTAGTTAATACTATCAGCTGATTTTTTTTCCATAAGTTATTGGGGTACAGGTGGTATTTGGTTACACGAGTAAGTTCTTCAGTGGTGATTTGTGAGATCCTGCTGCACCCATCACCCGAGCAGTATAGACTGCACTGTATTTGTTGTCTTTTATGCATCCCCGCCTCACTCTTCCCCTCAAGTTCCCAAAGTCCATTATATCATTCTTATGGCTTTGCATCCTCATAGATTAGCTCCCACATATCAGTGAGAACATACGATGTTTGGTTTTCCATTCCTGAGTTACTTCACATAGAATAATAGTCCCCAATCTCATCCACATTCTTGCAAATGCAGTTAATTCATTCTTTTTGTGGCTGAGTAGTATTCCATCAGATATACATACCACAGTTTCTTTATCCACTCGTTGATTGATGGGCATTTGGGTTGGTTCCACGATTTTGCAATTGTGAATTGTGCTGCTATAAACATGCGTATGCAAGTATCTTTTTCAAATAATGACTTCTTTTCCTCTGGATAGATGCCCAGTAGTGGGATTGCTGGATCAAATGGTAGCTCTACTTTTAGTTCTTTAAGGAATCTCCACACTGTTTTCCATAGTGGCTGTTCTAGTTTACATTCCCACCAGCGGTGTAGAATTGTTCCCTGATCACCGCATCTATGCCAACATCTACTGTTTTGATTCTTTGATTAGCAAATAAAAACATAAAGTGGGGAAAGGACATGCTTTTCAACAAAGGACATGCTGGTACAATTGGCTGGCCACATGTAGGAGAATGAAATTGGATCCTCATCTCTCACCCTACACAAAAATCAAATCAAGATGGGGACTTAAACCAAAGACCTGAAACTATAAAAATTCTGGAAGATTGGAAAAACCCTTCTAGACATTGGCTTAGCCAAGGATTTCACGACAAAAAACCCAAAAGCAAATGCAATAAAAACAAAGATAAGTAGCTGGGACCTAATTAAACTAAAGAGCTTTTGCATGGCAATAGGAACAGTCAGCGGAGTAAACAGACAACCCACAGAGTGGGAGAAAATCTTCACAATCTATACATCCAACAAAAGACTAATATCCAGAACCTACGACGAAGTCAAACAAACCAGTAAGAACAAAACAAACAATCCCATCAAAAAGTGGGCTAAGGCCATGAATAGACAATTCTCAAAAGAAGATAAACAAATGGTCAACAAACATATGAAAAAATGCTCAACATCACTAATGATCAAGGAAATGCAAATCAAAATCACAATGCCATGCCACCTTATTCCTGCAAGAATGGCCATAATCAAAGTATCAGTTGATTTGAGATGAAGAACCTGAGGTGGAATGGAGGTTAAATAAATTGCTCATGATAATCCTGAGAAAATAAAAAAGCCAAAAAAAAAATCGAATACAGATTTCCAGCCCAAGGGCTCAAACGCTCTTCCACCAATGCCGAACTGCACCCGAAAGGCCACGTTAAGGTTTTTTTGAGAGGATATTTTCTGACTTTGAGTACATTGTTACAAACTTGATTTTCTTTATTATGTTATTTTGGCCTTCCTAATAATGAAAAAGGGTCAGGCAACTTCACAAAGTAATCTCATGTGACAAAAATAATACCATAATTGTTATGGATAAGAGCTAAAAATACAGTTGTGTTTTATAAATAGTAACCTTTTTTACTGTCATTATTCACATATTTATTCCACTTTTTTTTTTTTTTTTTTTGAGACGGAGTTTCACTCTTATTGCCCAGGCTGGAGTGCAATGGCGCGATCTTGGCTCACTACAACCTCCACCTCCTGGGTTCAAGCAATTCTCCTGTATCTGCCTCCAGAATAGCTGGGATTACAGGCGCCCGCCACCACGCCCTGCTAGTTTTGTATTTTTTTTTTTTCAGTAGAGACAGGGTTTCAACATGTTGGCTAAGCTGGTTTTGAACTCCCGACCTCAGGTGATCCGCCCGTCTTGGCCTCCCAAAGTGCTGGGATTATAGGCATGAGCCATGGAGCCCCGCTTTATTCTACATTTTTTAAAAAGCTTATCATATGACCCGTAATGCCAGAGACCTGAGAGATACAGAATTATGATACTACATTTACCTTCATTAAGTCCTTTTCTGACAAAGACACAGAAATGACAATATAATGTGCTAACTGCTAATTAGAGATAGAAGGATATAATAATACAACAAGGTCAAGTGATGAATCAGAGATAAAATATAAGGCAGAAGGTATTGAATTGACAGAAAAATTACAAAAGAAACAGAGAAGCCAAAAAATGTACAGTGCAATTTGAAGAATTTAATTTTAAAATGATTTATTGAAATATAAGACCCCAAAGTCATTGTACATAAAACATTATTTTACCGAAATCTACATTCCAATTAGATCAAAAGGCTTAAATTATAGGAAGCAGTAATATCTTATATGCCTAATAAGCAACTTAGAAAATAATAATATAATAATATAACAATAATAATAAAGTGTTCCTTCAAAATTGGCTGAAAATATACATATGTACCATTAATAAATAAAAATGCTATTTTTGTATGCTAGATTGAATAAGCTTGCTATTAACTCTCATTCACTAAACTGTTTATCTTATCAGGAAACAATTTCTCCTTCTACCTCATAGACTGTATTGACTCCATCAAGCATGAACACAGATAGTTATTAAAAATCTTATTATGTGCCATGAATTATCTTAAGCATGAGAAAATATTAACTCATAATAGTTATAAATAACATTCTGCCAGACTAAGATGGACAAGTGTGTGTGTTCTGTACATAAACCAAAACTATCTTCTGTAATATATAAGTCCAGTATTGCTTTTTTTTTTTGCTTTTTTTTTTTAGATTTACCTGGGAAATCTACCTTTTTTTTAAGGTTTGCCTGGAAAATCTACCATATTACTTCATACTACCAGCATGTTTGGACAGGCTTATGGTGAAGGCGGGAATACTGAGTCAAAGAAGACTGCAGAATATTTCCTGAATTGTGTATACCCTTCCCAAGAGTTAATGTTGAATATGTTGGGTTTGCATTGTGGTTTCATTAGGTTGATGATTACTTAAGATGTTTTTACCACTGTTTCTGAGTTACAAAAACACATTTCTTTTCCCCTCAAAATAAAATTTCAAGTGATTCATTGGTGTATAATCAGCATTTTTATTGTTCATATTGACCACCGAGGCTACTGATGCTAATATAAGTAGTTATTTAACAATTAATTTTAAACTAGCTTATCTACTACCAAAATGCTTTATATACACTTTCTGGACACTTCAATTTTACTTATCATAACCAATAATCTAGAACACTACAAGTTTTATATTCTCCCACCACAGCTTGGCTCACAGAACTACTTAGCCATGCTTCTACCATCTTTCTGATTTATTCATGCTTATAATTTGCCACAATTTTAATCTCAAACCTTCACCAGAGCCCTCAGTCCTCCTCTCTCAGTCCACCTTGTCAGACTAAAGTATGGAGTCAGCCACTAAGACCATAAACCTTTCAAGATTCCTCATTAATGGTGTAACCAAATGAAGAAAGAGCAAAAGCAAACACATGGGTGCATACGTGGGCTCCAAGGCATACTTGGGCTGCAAGGGAGTCAGCACGTCCTGAGAAGATGGAGGGATGGGGAAAGCTATAAGGAAAGCAGATCAGGAAGGAGGGGATAGGGATGAAAGTTATTTGTTAAGCATTTGGTTGTAATGGGAAGACATTACAGGAGTTTCCATTGGGGAGTAACATTATATGATATATGTCATCGATGAGTGAAAAACTTCAAATTTTGAAGACTTTATCTTTGACTCCATAGAATACGTCAATCCTTTATAATTCCCATTGTATTCCATTCTATCCAATTCCTCTTAGCGCTACTTCTTTTCTTATTCAGACTGAACATTTAAGGGATTTTCAGAAGCTGACATATGACATATATTTTGAAAAGGTAGAATAAGCAGAAGCCAAGAGAATTTTTATCTTTCCTCATAGAATCCATTCACCCCACTCCCATCCACTAAAATTCTGATTACATTTCATTCTTTCTACTCTCTATTGGACTCACTTCCTTTCTTACACAGCCCAGACTTCATGCTTCATTATTTTAAATATTATCTTGATAGCTCATATAATTTTTCTGCCCCCCTACACTTAGCCAACCTTACCTGGAAAACACGCAACCACGTAAAACTCTGAATTTGATTTCTACTGCCATTCCACCAAAACAGATGAATTTTAAGTAAGTTTATGTTTTTTAAACTGTGTTGGTAACCAAAGACATCTTATCAAACTCTTTTTCTTGTTGACATTAGTGTTAACTGCCTTTAACTCTCCTTAAACTTCAAACTTATCTCACCAGAAAACAATTTTCCTTTCTACTTCATAGACAATACTGAGTCCATTGAGCATAAATACTATCCACTTCTTAGTAGGACACATCAATAATTTTATCTAAATCTGAGCACAATTTTAGTTCTCTCAAGTTTTAAAGGATATATGACCTTCTTTCAGTTCAAAGCTAATAGCTCTTTTGACTTTTTAAAAAGTTCCTCTGTAATCTATCCTTTTGATAATGTTCATTGTAGCAAAAGTAATCGTGATAGTTTTAATGCCTAAAATTGAATGAGCAGCTATGTGCAGGGTAATTTATATCTTTGTCTCAATTAGCCTTACTATTAAATTTGCTATATTATCAATGTAACTATTATTATTATATTATTAAATATAATACATATTATTTTATTACATTATTATTTTTAATAAATGTGAGCATTGTTTCCACTTTGAATATCCAGTACTCAAAACATTATCGGATATTCAGATGAATTATGAGGTTATTCCATATATTTTAGGCCTAATAGTTTGTTTTCATAAATTAAGCTAGAACATAACATTTAGTATAGCTCCTTTTTGCCATTAGAACACAAACATTCACAATTTGCCAAAGATGCTCCAGATTCAAGTTTATCACACTGGTATAGATATATGACTAAATATTTTCCCTGTAATTGAAGGAGATTAGGAAAATATTAAAACACAAACATTATAAAAATCTGCCAATTAGTTGCATACTTATGGCAACATATTTAGTAACATATCTTTGCAGAATGTTTCTCTTGTAAATTAAATCCCTTGACATTTTCAAGAGCATAGCTGTCCATCACGGATGAAAAGGCACCTTATTTCCATGACTACAAATAGCAGGACATGTTCTGTTCCATCGGTCTTCTAAAATCACTGTTTGTGGATTGAGAGATTGTGTCTAACAAAAGAAGTTACTCATATGCTTATCGTCTGTTCTTTTTTCAACTGTCAGACACAAACTACTGATTCCCTATCTTGTTAATCACAAAATAATGAGCTTAACAATACCTATTTTTTAGTATTTCATTCTCAAATAAGGGATCAATTAAGTTTAAACAAAGCTTTTCAACTTCTTCATTTACAAAACCCTAGTGCCTTTGGAGCTTTACATTACAAATGCCTTATATTAATGATGTCCTTATATGATTACTTTTAATGGCAAAAACTGCAATTACTTTTGCACCAACCTAATACTTTTTATCTACTGGGTTGCATTTCTCATATATTTCTGGGCCTATAACAATACTCACAAACTATCGTTTAAATGACTGAAAGAAGAAAACAAGAAAGAAAGTAAAGAAGGGAGGGAGGAAAAAAAGAAAAAAAAATGAAGAAAGGAATGAATATAAGGGGAAAATAGAAAAAAAGGCAAAACTATGGGAATGAAAAACTACTAAGTGGTTGCTAGAGTTGAGGGAAAGGAAAGACATTGTTAGTTTTTTTTGTTTTTTTTACTACAGAGGGGCCACACATGGGAAATGTTAGCATGATGGAACCCTTACATATGATAAAGTAGTGGTGAATATACAACCACATACATTTGCCAAAACATATAGAAGGCTTAAGGTTTAAGAGTGAATATTGCTAATTGCAAATTAAAAATAGAAGTAAACCAAGATGTTGCAGCAACCTAAGACAGAATGCAGCCTGTGACAAATAAATCCAACAGTATATATAAATATATGGCATAGCCTCACCAATGCGGGTAGGAGTAAAGGAGTAAGCTAGGAAACTTCAGGAAACATCATCTTGACTGGATGTTGTAACAACAAAAAAAATAATATTTGCTAATTTCATTGAGACATTCTCTTTGACTTATAGGCTATCTAAAAGCATGATGCTTCGTTTCCTCATTTTTGGTAATTTTTAAGATATATTTCTGTTATTGACACATAGCTTAATTACATTGGACTGACAAAATACTTCTTATTATTTCTATTTTTAAAAATGTATTCAGGTGTGTTTTATGGCCCTAAATATGGTCTATCTTGGCATATGTTCCATGTGACTTTCAGAAGAATGTGTATTCTATTGTTGTTCAGTGGAGTGATCTATGAATGTCAATTAGAGCAAATTGGTTGATAGTGTTGTTCAAATCATTTTTTTTCTCTTACTGGTTTACTCCCTCAGTTTTTGTCTGAGAAAATATTTCTCCTTCACTTTTGAGGAATATATTTCCTGGACCTAGAATTATGTGTTGACAGTATTATTTCATTACATTTAAGATTTTACTATTTTCTTCTTTCTTGCATGGTTTCTGACATGCAAATTACATACCGTAATTCTTAACCTTATTTTTCTGTAGATAATCAGTCTTTTTTTTTCTGTTGCTGTCTTCAAGATTTCTCTTTGTCTTTGGTTCCCAGCAGTTTCAATACAATATGCTGTATATGTGTGTGTATGTGTGTGTGTGTGTAGAATTTATTCCTAATGTTCTCAGGGTATCTTGCATTGGTGCTTTTAGTTTCTGCCCATAATTTTGGAAAGTTTTTGACCACTATTTCTTTAAACGTGTTCTGCTTTGCTCTTTTTTCTCCTAGGATTACAAATGTTAGAGAATTTGCTATTTTTCAATTTGTGTTTCAATTTGGTGATTTCTACGACATATCCTCAGGGTCTCTAATCCTTTCCTAGGTTGTGTCAAGTCTATCGATTAGCCAGTCAAATGAATTCTTTTTCTCTGTTAGTAAATTTTTATTTATAGCATTTCTAGTTATTGTTACAGTTTCCTTCTCTGTGCTGAAATTATCTATGTGATCTTGAATCTCATCTATCTTTTTCTTCAGAATATTTAGTATAATAATCAGTTATGTTAAATTCCCTGCTCGAGAGTTTCAACATCTGTGTAACAACTGACTCTTGTTCTGATTATTGCTTTTTTAAAAATCTTCAGACCTTGCTTATACCTTTCTGTGTGTCTTGTGATTTTTTTATTGAATGCCTGATTTATGGTATAGTCATTAGATAAACATGAGCCCACTTTCTTTCTACGAGGGCCTTAGTATAGGGGGGTTGTGTTAATCTAGTCCACAAGAGAGGAAATTAAATACTTAGACAAAAGGATTTTGTCACTCCTGACAAACAACACTGAACCTAGTATATGACCTAAGAAGGTATCCAGCTAAATTACTTCACGTTACTCTGATGTATGACGTGTGCACTGACAACCATTAGTATGCCTCAATTATTCTTTGATATAACATATTACTAGTGTTGTTAGGTTGTCAGTAATAAATTCACAGGATAGAAGGGTTCTTTCAGCTTCTAATATTTGTTTCCATTAGCTAATTCATGTTTATAATGCTAATACAGGAAGAGAAACCACACCATTGTTTAAAAATATATTTATGTTATTCTATTACATGCTTAACATAAAATGAAGTAATGCATAACCTTTCTTCATCATAATTTCCAATTGATGTCAAAACAAAGTCAAGTAATGAATATTTGCAAAGTCAATTTAGGAATTAAGCTTAATGTAGTTCCTAAATTTGTCTTTATTGTCATTTTATGGGAATAATTTCCCTATTTTTATGGTTCTCTGAAATGAAGGAAGTAATTCACAGCCAAATCAGTCAAATTCATAGGTTTTTAAATTATTTTTCTCAGAGTCAATGCTAATTTGTTTCAAAATGAAAGAGTAAACATTAAGTTAGGGACTTATAAATATCCCTGGAAAGAAAGGGAGTGAGGCACATTGTCCACGTCAAGACCAAGAGCTGCATCCACTAGTTTGCACCCTGGAAACAAGGTATGCTTTTTTTTATGTTAAGATGTTCCCATTTTAAAAATTTCTCTAGTGGGTGCAGCGCACCAGCATGGCACATGTATACATATGTAACTAACCTGCACAATGTGCACATGTACCCTAAAACTTAAATAAAATAAATAAATAAATAAATAAATAAATAAATAAATAAAAAGAAAATGCACAAACCATAACAAAAATAAAATAAAAATAAAAATTTTTCTACCAGATTTCAGTCAGATGGACTTTAATAGCATACTTGTAAATGCATGGCATATTTATATTATTTCATAGTTTCCAGAGATTGATGACACAATCTAGTCTGTATAAATCTAGTCCACCTCACACCTGAGTTCTCACTTTAACACTGTATGAGGCAAGACTTAGCAAAGAAATTTTTTTTTCCCTACATTCAGACTGGACTCAAGAATTCACATAAACCCTAGAAAAAACAGATCAGTTCTGTTCATAAAGCCTCATGTGCTTCTGAAGAACTGAAAAATAGGGTCAGGTAAGTCTGTCTCATTTAACATGCTATTTCAAGAAAAAGATAAAGAAGGAAAAGGATAATGAAACACTTTTTATTAAATTGTGTGTCAGTGAAAACCTGATGTACAATATCAAAGATCACTAAAGCAAAGGTCACTCAGTATGTGGTCAAAGCCATGTTGAACAGGTAAGCAGCTTAGCCAAGATTAAAAATATGTTTCGAGGAATATGATGATTTTTTTCCAGCCTAGATTTTGTAAGGATTAGGTAGGAAAGAATCCACAATCTTATCAAAAAAAACTTGGAAGTTCATTATATTACTAGAATATACATAGTATATAAGCAATACATTCTCACTTCACAAAAAATAGACTACAGAAAATGAAAGAAAAATATACAAATAATTATAAAAACAAACTGATCTTCTAATTCATAACTCATTAAATATTTTACCAATACTCATGTTCTTATCTACTACTTTTTTATTTTAAATTAGTTTCCTGTCATATATAAAGTTGGTGCTCTTTTTATAGTGCTACAAGTCTCTAGAGTAGGAATATTATTCTTGTTTCTATTTGCTGTTTTAGTTATTTATTTGTATTTATTTACTTATTTTATAATTTTAACTTCTATTTTAGATTCAGGGGCTACATGTGCAGGTTTGTTACATGGGTATATTGCATGATGCTGAGGTTTGGGGTATGGATGGATCCCTTCACCCAGGTATTGAGCATAGTACCTAATAGGTAGTTTTTCAGCCCACTTCCTCTCCTTCCTCCCTCCACTAGTATTCCCCAGTGTCTCATATTGCCATCTTTATGTCCACATGTACTTAATGTTTAGCTCCCAGTTATAAGGGAGAACACGAATATTTGGTTTTCTGTTCCTGCATTATTAATTTACTTATGACAATGACCTCCAACTGTATTCATGTTACTGAAAAGGACATGATTTTATTCTCTTTATGGCTTATCTTTGCAATATTTAATATTTAAATATTCATTTAGCAATATATTATGAACCTAATATGATTATTCTTAACAAAACTTTTTGTTGGGATTTAATATTTTTCACATTATGAGATTCTAAATAATGCTATAAGTGTCCTTGTATATGCAATTTTTCGGTACAAGTGGAGATATTTTGGCTTTGAAGAAATAAGAAGCCATACACTTTAATAATCAATCAGTTGGAGAATGGTTTTAGGTTCTCTGAAGAAAACTGAGCCTAATCAAGACACACACCTGAGAATATGCCTTCTCCACTATTCTTCAGAAATAGAGAAAAAAAATTACGATCAAGTTTAAGATTAGAAATTTTTCTAAGTAGGTGATACCAATCTCCCACTGAATTCATAAAAACAAAACATTAAGAAGCACCCATAGAATGGTGACATTTAAGCAATTTTATTTCCTGGTAAGACCTCCAAAATAAATTAATTGCAAAATATGTCCCTGGGGAGCTAAATGAGTTGACATCTACTTTTAGACATTTCAGTTGGAAGTCAATTAACTGTTGAACGGTATCTGCTAATATATATTTATATTGGCTTTAGTGACATTCCTGTTAAGGTATACAGACAGTAGTTAAATAGCAGGGCCAACTATTCTGTTAAGGGTCTTCCTAGACAGACTAAAAAAGCCATGTATTCTTTCGTTTCTCTCTAAAAGAAGAAAAATATAATTTAAAAATACATTGCGTATTTTCTAAAACAATAAATTTATAGTGTTAATATTCATAGGGTCAATCAAAATGAAGCTTCTCCTTTGGGCCTGCATTGTATGTGTTGCTTTTGCAAGGAAGGTAAGTAAATGGACTTCCAAAATTGTAACAATTGTATAACCATTTGCTAATTGTTTATAGGCATTTGTGCTTATGATAAAGTACTATAGTGTTTGTAATAAAGCAGCAGAGAGACATAGATGGACATGAGATTTGTAGTGTCAGACTTTTCAACGGAAAATTTAAAAATCAAAATAATAAAGTTGTAGTATCTGAAAATAGATAAACAGCAAGGAAAGGAGGTAAGTTCATAAATGTAGGAGGCTGGAGGAGGAAAAATTATAGAAAAGCAGGATCCCACGTAGATTATCTTAACAGAGTTTATCTCTTCAAATTATAGAATGCTGGATTGGGCTTCCTATGGCTGTGAAGTGCCATTGCTGGAGGTATTTATGTACAGACATTAGGGATACTTGATGGAATAGAAGTAAATGCACATCATACCTTTAGTGGACTGTAACGTAATATAGTGTAATGCAATGGCCTTTAGTGTAACATAAGTAGATGAAACTCTAATGTAAGACAAATCTGATGGCAAATTCTTAATCCTAGCCAGTGACTATGCTAAATATTATCTTTTTTTAAATGGAGAAAATAATAACACCTACACCATAACATTGTTTTAAAGATTTTATAAGGTAATTATATAAAGTGCTTAGCAGAGTACCTCAGGTATGGTAGAAACTCAACTGCTACTTGATACCATTTGCTATTGATGTTATTATCATCCTGTCCAAACTTTAAACTATTATTTTTGTTCCCTAAAATTAGATAAATGAAGCTCCAATTCTTAAAATAATAAGTGATGATTTTCCTGTACTTTTTATTTTTATTCTGTAGTTCATAATCTGTGGTCAATTCACAAACCATATTGAAGCTTCATTGGAGAACAAATGGATCTATGGTCCTTCTGGTACTGTGAAGAGGTGGCAAAGACCACTCTTTTTTTTGTTGTATGTTTGTGGTTTTTTTTTTTTTGAGACGGAGTCTCGCTCTGTAGCCAGGCTGGAGTGCAGTGGCGCGACCTGGGCTCACTGCAAGCTCCGCCTCTCGGGTTCACGCCATTCTCCTGCCTCACTCAGCCTACCCAGTAGCTGGGACTACAGGCGCCCGCCACCACGCCCGGCTAATTTTTTGTATCTTTAGTAGAGACGGGGTTTCACCGTGTTAGCCAGGATGGTTTCGATCTCCTGACCTCGTGATCCGCCCCCTCGGCCTCCCAAAGTGCTGGGATTACAGGCGTGAGCCATTGCGCCCGTCGCAAAGGCCACACTTTAACACACAGATGCACACACACACACACACACACACCAGACAAAACCTGGGAGGTAAAAAGTGAATAGCAAAATCAGATATATGAATGAGAGCTGAATGATCTTTCAGATGATAAAGATTTATGTACATGTTGAATATTACAAACCAAAATCCATCCAGCCAAAGTAAAACTCCCTGAGGAAATTGTTTAGGTCAAAACCATGTAATGATAATGATGACGATGATAAAAAAAAATTCATATTAGTTACTCAAATTTCAAAAAAATTAACCATAAGTATTATTAAGCTTTGCAAATTTTTCAGCAATATGGAAATGTAGGTGCAGATGTTTTCAAATACATAACCGCATTAAAATATATTTTTCTTTATTTTAGAGACGGTTCCCCTTCATTGGTGAGGTAAAACTTTTTTTTCTTTACACGCAAGTATATTTGTTTTTATCTTAAAATATATTTTACATTTTAAAACTCTCTGATTTCTTTACAGTGAAACTTAATGACTGCTATTGCTCTTAAAATAATAGTGCTATTAAACTCTTCCGATTTGATAGAAAATATTTATGGAATATGTTTGTGTTCAACATATTTAGCAAAAGGTCTTTAGTCTTTTTAATGAGCAAAAGCATTAAGTGCACTCCCTTTGCAGCTTAAGAAAATTTTTGCCATGCCAAGGTTTTCCCCTCATGCCTCTATTATACATTGTCAGTATGTCCTAAGTTCATTTGAACAAACTTAGTGATGAATCTGGAGATGCTCTGTCTGCATGAAGGGTTAGAGCAAGAGAAAGCATGAAGTAGTGGGCCAGCCATATATTCAGGTGTGTGTCTTCAAGCTAGGAACCACTAGCAGGAGGAGTGTGTCCCAATGAGTTAGATGATTTCTGTGTAGCAAATACCCATAAATTATCTCTATGAGACCAAAGCACATACTGATTAACTGATGTTAGATGTTTTTTTCAGTTCCTTGCTACTTGTGCCTCAATTTCTGGCAACAGAAGACTACTAAGAAAATTACACTTACACCTATCCACCAGTATGCCATAAATCAACATGACACTCTAGCAAAGAAAGCTCAAGAGACATAATCTGTGATGTGCACACTTTTGACCAACAATGATCAGACATATAACGAAGGAGTAGAAATCTTTTGGAAATAATGTTTTAAAATAGAAATATTATTAGGTATTATTTTGAATTTTTTTTTGCATCATTTTACTTATTTTTTTATTATACTTTAACTTTTAGGGTACATGTGCACAACGTGCAGGTTTGTTACATATGTATACATGTGCCATGTTGGTGTGCTGCACCCATTAACTCGTCTAATGAGTTAATATTTAAGTCCTCAGATTCTAGGGCTCTATGATCCACAATGCAAATAATTGATATTTGCCTCTATGAACACCTGGGGACATATATTACTTATGTATATATGTCATACCTCAGGGGGCTCTGGCAATATGACTCGTGAGAAAAATTTAACTCAGTAATTCAGGAAACTTACCTAAAATTGGAAAAAAATTAAATGTTAATTAAGAAGCTTGACTGGCTGGGGAATGTAGCATCCCAGACACAAGAAGAAAGAAACCTTGTCTGTTTTCCAGTATGTAGGATCCCCTAGCACAGAGATGGCACAGAGAAGGTACACATTTTATACTTTTAAAAATAAATCACAGAACTTCCATCAAGAAAAACCTTAAAATATCTCAAAGACCCTGAGGGACAATCTACATTTATTGAGAAACTTCTCAGTATTGTATATTATTATATATAATAATAATATTATATACAATAACATTAACATCTACATCCAGTCTGCTCACTGTCTTGTTTATTTATTTTTATTTATATATATTTTTTGAGACAGAGTCTCACTCTGTTGCCAGGCTGGAGTGCAGTGGCCTGATCTCAGCTCACTGCAACCTCTGCCTTCCAGGTTCAAGCAATTCTCCTGCTTCTGCCTCCCAAGTAGCTGGGACTACAGGCGCCCGCCACCACGCCCAGCCAATTTTTTTGTATTTTTAGCAGAGTTGGAGTTTCACCATGTTGGCCAGGACGGTCTCGATCTCTTGACCTCGTGATCCGCCCTCTTCGGCCTCCCAATCTGCTCACCCTCTTAATGAAAATTTGAGATGCACAGTGTTAAAGGAAGGGAAGCATTGATAAAGAGAGGTAGGAAGTTGAGAAAGATAAGTCTGGAATATGGGACACCTGGAAGAGGAATAATGAAGCAGAGGCTTCAGTGGACACTTTAGAGACCCAGAGAGTGCTGAGCGCAGTGGGAAAGACAATGGAGGGTGCAGAGAAGAAGGCCCGGAGCTACTAATCTCATAATCCTGTATCAATCCTAAAAGTGCGAGTGCTTTCCTTCTATCTTTGTCCTGGCCTAGGTTAGCATATTCTGTGGACTATAACACTCTTATTTGCTTAAACACAAAATATTTCCTCCTCAGTTGGAGTTTATTCAATTTTCTTAAGAGATTATTACTTCTTACTTCAAAAATATGGAAGTACACTAGACTTAAGAAAGATAAGACATTGGAATTCTTTCAAAATATCATTACTTATCATATATCATCACAGTTGTACCATAAGTAATATATAGACAGGACAAATACAATCAACTTCGACTTCTTTGTTTCTCCTTTAGGATGACAATGACGATGGTCACCCACTTCATCCATCTCTGAATATTCCTTATGGCATACGGAATTTACCACCTCCTCTTTATTATCGCCCAGTGAATACAGTCCCCAGTTACCCTGGGAATACTTACACTGACACAGGGTTACCTTCGTATCCCTGGATTCTAACTTCTCCTGGATTCCCCTATGTCTATCACATCCGTGGTTTTCCCTTAGCTACTCAGTTGAATGTTCCTCCTCTCCCTCCTAGGGGTTTCCCGTTTGTCCCTCCTTCAAGGTTTTTTTCAGCAGCTGCAGCACCCGCTGCCCCACCTATTGCAGCTGAGCCTGCTGCAGCTGCACCTCTTACAGCCACACCTGTAGCAGCTGAGCCTGCTGCAGGGGCCCCTGTTGCAGCTGAGCCTGCTGCAGAGGCACCTGTTGGAGCTGAGCCTGCTGCAGAGGCACCTGTTGCAGCTGAGCCTGCTGCAGAGGCACCTGTTGGAGTGGAGCCAGCTGCAGAGGAACCTTCACCAGCTGAGCCTGCTACAGCCAAGCCTGCTGCCCCAGAACCTCACCCTTCTCCCTCTCTTGAACAGGTAGGTTGTTTATATCTTACCACTATAATGTATGAGAAATGAGATTTGTAGAAGGGGAAAAAAAAAAACCACTCCCCAAGCAAATCTATATCAACTTAAATATTTTGAACAGCTTTATTCAGATACAATTGACATACCACAAACTACACATATTGAAAGTGTATACTTAGATATGTTTTGACATATGTATACACTCATGAAAAGAGTTACCAGGATGGGGAATGTGTCTACTACAGTCAAAAGTTTCCTCCTGTTCCTCTGTAATCCCACATTCCCCATCCTCCCATCCCTGGGCTGTTTTTTGTCACTACAAATTGGTTTGCATTTTCTAGAATTTTACGTAAGTGGAATAATATTGTATGTACTCTTGTGTCAGACATCATTCACTTTTAGAGATTTATCCATGAAGTTGTATTTACTAATAGTTTGGTTCTTTGCAGATTATTATTTTATTATACAGATACGCCGTAATTCATTTACCCATTCATCTGTTGAACAGATTTTAGCTTCCAAACTGGATGCATTTATTTACTTATTGCATGCTTTAATGGCTTAAACATCCAGTACAATGTCAAATAAAAGTGATTAGATGGACATCCCTGCTCAGTTCCTAATATTAGGGGAAAGCATTAAGTTTTTTAACATATCTTTACACACACACATGCACATGTATATGTACCTACATACCCTCCTCCTCCTGAGGCCATGTATACATTGTACCCACATATTATTATATCTATAACATACACAACGTGTACATAATGTGTATATGTAGTACACACATATATGTGTGTATGGACATACATGTTCATGAGCTTTATTCTGGAATGCTATTAGGTTAGTATGCTTTTACACTTTATTAAACAGGAACGGATAAATGTTTTTATCCAAGGCTAATTTTTCCTTTATTGAGATCAAATTATTCTGAGTGCTCAAACTTATGTCCAGTGAATTTTGTGGTTTTTCACTCTGGCTGGTGGGATCAAGAACTTTTTCCTGCCCTAGTACCAATTGTGAGTACCAATTGTTGTTCTATTCTGTCCTTTCAGGTAGTTCTCTACCTGACCTCAGGTCATATCTTCATATAATTAATCAATACTCATTGAAATGTGAGCATATCCTCTTTTTAAAAAAAAAATTCATCTTTTATTTTAGATACAGGGATTACATGGGGTACATATGCAGATTTGTTACATGGGAATATGGTGTGATGCTGAGGTTTAGAGAATGGATCCCTTCTCCCTGGTAGTGAGCACACTACCCAAGAGGTAGTTTTATAACCCAGCCCTAACCACCACCTTCTAGTAGGCCACAGTGTTCCTTGTTCCTATATTTATGTACATGTGTGCTCAATGCTTAGCTCCCATTTATAAGTGAGAACACAGATATCTAGATCTTTGTATCTACATCTTTGTGGCCTGTTTTCCCATCAGGTACTCTGCCTGTAAACGTCAGCTATCTTGACCTTCCTGGCTCCATCTACTTAACTCAGAGAATCTTCTGGGACTTTCTCTCTCTCTCTCTCTCTCTCTCTCTCTCTCTCTGTGTGTGTGTGTGTGTGTGTGTGTGTGTGTTTTCCCTTGCACCAAGCCATGGAAACTCACTCCAGGCAGTATGCTAGGACAATCATAGAGACCACCTACCTTGCTTCCTGTCTCTTAGTGATTACTATTTTACACAGCCTGATATTTAGATCTTGAAAAATTGTTCCTTCTCATTTTTCTTCTCATGTTTGCACATTATTTTTGTTTTGAGCAAGAGAGTAAATGCAGTTTCTATTATTCATCTTGAACTTTAGCTTTAGCGAAGTTTACTAAACTTTTAGAAAAACAATTGTTTTCAGACAAAAAAAAAAATGTAAGAAGCAGCTAGTCCCTAAATTTTAGTAGATATGACCCAAGGAATTAGGCTATTTTACCAAAGGGAAACCATGATTCTGAACTACATAGAAGATACTCTGAACCCTGGCAAGAGGCTAAAAACAAATGGAAGTTTAAATCCACCAATGAATTATTTATGCAGCACATTGCCACCACTTGGAAAGCTCTAGTAGTTGTTACCTAGAAGGAGATAAGAACTCTTTTTCTTTTAAGATATTCACCAAGGGGTTACATTCAATGGTGTTTGCAGCTTCTCTAGAGAGGTATGATGAGCCAGGCTTGTTCTCCAATGCTTCCAATGCTTCACACATTAAATATGTTCATTCAGTAGATTTGACACAAGCACTTTCCATCTGCTGGGGTATTATGAACACTGTATATATATATATATATATATATACACACATACATATATATACACGTATACATATATATATATATATATATATATATACCTGTAGCTCATGGTTCACATGACAGTAGAAGGAAATGATAGAAAGTGAAGATAAAAAGAAATAGAACCTGATAAGAAGGGACCTTGAAAACACTGCTCAATACCTTGGACTTCATCCTGTAGCCAAAGCAATTTATTAGGGACCTTCACTGAGAGGAGTGATTCAACCAGTTCTCTGTTTCAGAAAGCTAAATCTAGTAGCAGTATAGAATATTTTAAACATGTTAAGAAGAGATCAGCAAAACACAACTTCTCAGAGAAGAAAGGTTATTTAGAAAAGATAGGCCCAATACTATGAAATAAAGTACATTTGATTGTTTATGAAAAGATCTTTTTTTTAATGTTTTCTAGGCAAATCAGTGAAATTCTCTAGAAGAGTACCATGGGTTCATTTCTGTAAGTCATATGTGATAATATAATTTAGAAATTATAGATAAAGAGGTTAAATCTCATAATCTGAAGCTACCTTGGAATGTATTATATTTTTTACTACATGAAAATGAGAAAGTGGAGCTTAGAGAAGCACTGGTAGTTTGTGCCTCAGAACCTTTCAAACTATTAACTCATGTCTTGCGTAAGGAACTCAGGCTACTTTTGAACAAATAGCGAGTTCCTCCTTAAATTGATCCAAATTGATTATGACTTGAAGATTTTAAATTAACAGTAGTTAATATAGGTAAAAACCTTTAACGTGGGAAAAGAGGGTTGGACTATACATAGAAAGAGGCATTGTTTAAGTTCTTACAGATTATTCTGTATGCTATCCCTTCAGCCACCATCCTACCCCATATTAAGAACTACTGTTTTAGAAAACAAACAATTTAGACCTGAAGTCTCCCTGTCCCTACATTGTACCACCCAAAGGCACAAACAAACAGCTCAACTGGACTCACTGTGTCTTAGTCATCTGATCAGGGGATAAGCAAGAAACTTGGCCATCTTAATTTCAGGTTCTTCTCCTTCATCCCTTCTCAAAGATGTTCCAATTTTAATGTTTACCAGACAGGTAAATGACAAGGCTTTGACTGTCAGCCAAATCAAAGTTATTTCTGAGGTGACATCACTAGCTAAAGTAGAATTGAAAAGCAAATGTGATGGTATTTATTATTGTTGGTGATACCTCTTTACAGCAGCCATTGCCAAAGAAACTAAAAGATATCCATTTTTAGTTAAACCTTGACTATTGCTATATTCTTTGGTTTTCATTTATTTTACTTTTATGTTAAATGAACAATTGGCTAGTGAATTAGTTCAAGATATTAGATACACATAATAGTTTCATATATTCTGTAGCATTTGTATTTAGTATTTTGCCAAATAGCATGAATTTGTAGATAACCATTCATTATGGTCTTTTTGAAATAACATTAAAATCATAAATCAAGAAAAATAATTTTGCTTTAAGTGTGAGTCATTTGGTCATTTTATTATACTGAACCAATGTTATTTTCTTCTTTCAGATACTGATGCAGAAATAAGTGAAATCTACAAAAGTTTTCTTTCTTTTCCAAAGACTATTTCATTCTGTTGTATTCAGAGTATTCATCTCACTACATTGATTTGTTTGTGGTAGTTTTTCCTTGGACTTAATTTATATTGAAAAAACATTGATAATTAAATAAATAAAATAGATAATTTAGACCAATGGTGATAAGGTCTGGATGAAAACTACGCTATGGAGGACTGAAATGGCAATCATTCAGCCTAGCCTGGAGTCTGATTATACAGCTACTATAGGATGATGTTAGTATTGGTTTTGAGTGCAATAGGTTTTTTCCTAAACAAACATATTTTGTAGTCAATGAACTTTTTGTCACAAAACAGTAAAACATCTGTGTTTAACCTATGGTAAACAACATGTTAATGAACTATGCTATCCATGACTTAATGGACAGTTCAAATGTGACATCTACAGTTTTTCATTTCTCTTTTATGCCAGCACACAATCAATTCATCACCAATTGTCATTTGATTTACTTCAAAAAATATACCCCCAAATCCTAATACTTCTAACCTTCTCCACTGCATCTAGCCAACTCTAGCTATTGTCATCCCTAACAGAAATGGAGGAATAGCCTCTTTTTTTTTTTTTTTTTTTGAGACGAAGTCTCACACTGTTGCACGGCTGTAGTGCAATGGTGCCAACTCAGCTCACTGCAACTTCCACCTCCCGGGTTCAAGTGATTCTCCTGCCTCAGCCTCCTGAGTAGCCGGGATTACAGGTGTGTGCCACCACGCCTGGCTAATTTTTTGTAATTTAGTACAGACAGGGGTTCCCTATGTTGGCCAGGATGGTCTTGATCTCCTGACCTCATGATCTGTCCGCCTCGGCCTCCCAAAGTGCTGGGAATACAGGCGTGAGCCACCGTGCCCTGCCAGAATAGCCTATTAACCAGTCTACCTGCTTCCACTTTTCCTCCACCCTGATCACATACACACATGCATTATCCACTGAGCAGTCACAATCAGATGTTAAACCAAACATTATTCAGATAAGATCTCTGAAAAGCCTCTGATACTTTCTCTTTTAAAATGGAATATATTCTAAACACCTCTCCAAGGACACAAGACTTACCTTGTCTAACTAATGACTTTTCTAACTTCATTCCCTATCATTCTCCATCTTGCCCCATGCTCCTCATGCAGCAGCTTTTTTTTTTTTTTCCTTTTTCAAATATGTTGGTTTTGATCTTATCCAAGAACCTTTGCCCTGATGTATGAATGACTAACTGCTTTTCTACTTCGGGGGTCTCATATAGAAATCCTGCTTCAGAATACTCTTCCCTGAGCACTCTATCTAAATAAATCCCTCTTCTGCAACCCAGTGCTTTTTGTTCTATTACTGACTTCTTTTCCTTGTAGAAGTTACTATTACTGCTTTTTACCTTTTTATTTATTTGTGTATTGTCTTTGTTGTTGCCCTCATCTTATCTCCACAAAAATATATGCTCCATAAAAACAGGCATTTCTGTGTCTTATTCAGCACTTTATCAGGGCCTATAACAATGCCTGGGACATATTCAGTGACCAGTGAATATTTTTGGAAGGAAAGAAAAGAAGAAAGAATGAAGTAACAAACAAAGAATGAAGGAAGAAAAAATTTTTACAAACATTCAACATATTTTTATTTTGAAATAATTTTGTATTTTTCCCTATATCCTACATTGGATCAGAATATTACTGTTATGTATAGCCATGAGGACATGGTCTCAAAAAATGAGAAACTTTCTTAGACAGTAAAATTGTTAACTTGAGATGTTTGCTTCCATCTTCTAGAGCCAAGTAGGATCTAACTTTAATTTGACTTAGCCAATAATCTGAAACTATTATAGTATCTGTCTTTCACAGATACATGCAATATTCACTTCTAAATATTTAATGATAAATTTGTAATCATACATGATAGTCAATTTTAATGATTATGTTGTCAAAATTCAGGCTTTTTGTGTGAATTGAAGACTTAAAGAAGAATTTGTAAATATGACTGTATAAGAAACAACAGAAAGATGAAGATGAACCGAAATAGAAATATCAAGAGGCTACAAAGTCTTAGCAAATTATAATTGCTAATGGTACATTATGTGGTGTTTAGTATCACATTTAGAATGTAGTCATTTGTTAAGTTTTTCATGGGGTAAAAGAAAGAATTTATTCCAAGAAAATTTTGGAATTTTAAAAATAAACATGACATCTTATCATGAGAAACATTTACAGTTTTTGCTTTTACTACAAGATACTGTGAAATGTTCTGCTCTGTCAGTTGTGAAAGTATGAAATTTAAGTCTATCACTACAATAATATTTTGTTTTTAGTGTTCATTTTTTTCCTCCTGACTACATTGAGATGAGTTAGATTGAGTGAAAGGTAAACACTAACATTTGAATTGAGGTAATTTCCACTGTGGAAAACAAACTGTTGTTAGTAAACAGGCATCAGCTTTGAGACACAGAAAAGTCATCCAAACCAGAAGATTGGGAACTTCCTCAATTACTTTGTCTTCCATTTATTGCATTCAATTAGTCAAAAATGTTGTTAATTATACATTTTAAAGACTATTTTTGGTAAGGTCTATGACACATTCAAAATACTACATACAAGTTTGTATTATCATAAATAATCCAAAAGAAAACATACATGTAACCACCACCATCTGGAAATTTCACACTAAATTATAAAACATTTCCATCACTGCATGTATTGTTTAATGTCGCTTTATGAATCCACCTTCTTCCTTATCTGTAGAGTTAAAAACTACTTAGTGGATTAGGGTAATTCATTCTACTTTTAAAAATGATTTTTCCACCTCTAATGTATTCTATAAAATAATATTGTTCACTTTTGCCTATTTTTGAGCTTTTTATAGAAAAATGCTACTGCGAAATTATTTTGAGTCATATCTTTTGATCGATATTAAGATACATTTGCAGAGTTTTGTATGTGTGTTTATATCCATCTTACATAATTCTTTACTGTATAGCGTTCCCTTTAGCCACTGGAAAATGATATAATGTCATTGCTTACAGAAGGTGACTGATTCTTATTCAGTGCTACTTTCTACAGACAGGTAACTATTCGCATTTACGATTAAGAAATGTTCACACCTTCACACTGGTATCAACTGCAACAACCACTATACTTCTCCAGTGATTGCCAGATGGCCCACTATACATCCTTTCTTCTATTTCTTTCTTTTGTGGCCAGAAAGTCAGGACCTCAAAGAGGTATAAGTTTGTGTGTATAATTCCCTGGCTTTTTTCTAAAATTTTAGTATGCATTTATGTGGCACTTAATATATAAAAGAGTTTTATGAGTTTTAAAAATGTATATAAACAAGACATATAATAAATGGTATGTCATTTCACAATTTACTATTTTTACTCAACATTTATATTTCTGAGACTTTTCACATTTTTGAATGTATTCATAGTTTCACTTTAATTGATGTTTGCCATGAAAGATCAAATATATCACATTTTATTTGACTAAAAAGTAAACTATATTTCCTACATTATGCTATAGAACTTATAGACTAATTTAAGTTAATTATAGGCCTTATCTCAGACCTTTGCAAGTAGCCTGAATAAAACTTTTCATTATTTATATTATCACATGCATATATGTGTGTATGTATATATGTGTGCATGTGCATGCATAGTAAAAATCTTAACCCAAAACTGAAATAAAAAATTATAAGAGAAAATACTATTTTCCACCAATATCACAATGGATAATCTTTTTTAAATGACTACATATGTCGATAAGTTACAAAATCCATATATGAGTATGACACCAATAAGAACATTTTCTCTAACCATTTTGAATACGAATAACCATGGATTCTAATAGCAAACATTATTAAAATATTATTGAAATAACTAACTGAAGTAAGTCACTTTTTTTCTTGTTTTTAGTGGGGAGATGTTTGATGCAACTGTGATTCATTCAGTGAAGAGGTAGCACCATAACATTCTTACATTTAAGTATGTTTTAATGCTTTATGTTTTTTAATTCCACATGTGTGTATCCCAATTCTTAACTCTCAAAAATTATTTTATGAAAATTGGTGTAATAATTATGGTCACTATCAAAAAATTTAAGGTAATATTAACAGTATCTTCATTAACTTTAAAATTTTTAATATAAAGTAAGAAAATAGCGTCCTCCATTTCTTATTAAGCTGTATCTAGAGAAAATACAATAAGTAAATTCCTGTAACTTAAGGGCTGGAATTTAAATCAGAGTGTGTAAAAGGGCAACATGAATGCTAAATCCTACCTTCATGTTTTGATGCTTTTCCTTGATTGAAATGTTAATTTACTTATTTTTATTATATAACCAGATAATGGACCAATGGTACATGCAGTGTAGAAATACACCAGTGATATTTTAAAGTACCAAACTTCTCCACTTTTGCTGTGGCAATCCAGTGAGAAGACATCTTCTGTCATGTAATCTTTGTACAGATCTGCACAAGGAAATATATTCCTCTACAAGAATTATTTAGCCTAAAATGAATCTATGAAGTTATTATAAAATACAATAAGAAGTATAAAACAATACAGACATCCTTTCCAAAGCAAGTGCATGGATATCCTACATTTTAGTTACAGGGATAATTAGTGACTTTCCTCATTTAAAAAAGAAATTTCTATTCCAAGGATGTTTCTGCAATTATACCATTATTATATATTACCTAGTGCCATGAAACATTCTGAGAGGTATCAGAGGAGTTGAGAGATTCTTCAGTAGGGATAGGAGATACTGTTTCATGCAGCCAAAAAACACATGAAAAAATGCTCACCATCACTGGCCATCAGAGAAATGCAAATCAAAACCACAATGAGATACTATCTCGCACCAGTTAGAATGGCAATCATTAAAAAGTCAGGAAACAACAGGTGCTGGAGAGGATGTGGAGAAATAGGAACACTACTACACTGTTGGTGGGACTGTAAACTAGTTCAAACATTGTGGAAGTCAGTGTGGCGATTCCTCAGGGATCTAGAACTAGAAATACCATTTGACCCAGCCATCTCATTACTGGGTATATACCCAAAAGACTATAAATCATGCTGCTATAAAGACACATGCACACGTATGTTTATTGCGGCATTATTCACAATAGCAAAGACTTGGAACCAACCCAAATGTCCAACAATGATAGACTGGATTAAGAAAATGTGGCACGTATACACCATGGAATACTAATGCAGCCATAAAAAATGATGAGTTCATGTCCTTTGTAGGGACATGGATGAAATTGGAAATCATCATTCTCAGTAAACTATCGCAAGAACAAAAAACCAAACACCGCATATTCTCACTCATAGGTGGGAATTGAACAATGAGAACACACAGACACAGGAACGGGAACATCACACTCTGGGGACTGTTGTGGGGTGGGGGGAGGGGGGAGGGATAGCATCAGGAGATATACCTAGTACTAGATGACGAGTTAGTGGGTACAGCGCACCAGCATGGCACATGTATACATATGTAACTAACCTGCACAATGTGCACATGTACCCTAAAACCTAAAGTATAATAATAATAAAAAAAGAAAAAATAAATAAATAAAATTTAGTGTTAATACTGTTAAAAAAAAAGAATTTCTTCATCCACAGTCTTCATCACTTACCAATTTCTGGAAAAGTCAGGGTGGGAGTTTTTATCCTGCTTACCCACTGCCTATAGAACATATAAAGGGATCTGAGTAAAGCAAGGAAGGTTATATGAAAAACTTAGCACGTCTTCATGTAAAAAAGAACTGGTAGCAAATCCTGGTGAGCATTGAAAGAATATATTCAAAACATTCTTCCAGAACTGAAATCAGCAAGGCAGGAGTCAGAATGCCATTCTCATCATCAACACAGGCATTTTGTTTCTCATTTGCCTATTTTATCCTTAGAACTTAAGTGACCTTGATTTAAGTGATGATCATTTTGAACACCTACCTTCAGAAGAAAATTCACTGAATCCTCTGGCATACAACAGATCTTCATTTTTTAATCATCTTTTTAATAAATACAAGGTAACTTAAAATTTACCTGTGAATGTGATGGATCACTCTGGAATAATTTTCTGATAAATACAGTATTAAATTCAGACAAAATAATTGTGGTAGGCAATAGAATTTTGTGGATACAAAATACCAGATGCCGCAGTCAGATCAAGTGGGCCCATACCCCAGGATCAACACTTAGTAGCAAAGGTCATCCAAGGAAATTGCTGACTTTCCATATGCCTTCATTTTCTCATCTGTAAAGTGGAGATAACACTAGTATAGACCAATAGAATTTTAAGTATCATATGAAATTAAGTAAAACAGTAAGCATGTGATAAATATAATTATTATTGTTCCAAGATTTAAAAAAAATCAGCAGTTTCTCTTCTAATAAAACTCTTTATTACATAAATAAAACCATAAAAAAGATAATTAAGAATGAAAGAATAGTCATTTTTATCCTAGCTCTTTAATCTAACACATAAATAAAAATGAAATTCCAGATTCAGCATGCTTTCAGATACATATTAGCATCAACTTTCCCTTCTACCGATCAGCAGAAATAAACTCTCAAAAGCAAATATTAATTTTCTACTGTTTTCTAGGCATTCTTATCTGAACTAACACTTATATAATTTTTACAAGAGTCATTAGTATTGTCCATCTCATTTTATTTATGAGATGCAAAGGGCTAATTTGCCTGAAATCACGTTGTTAGCAGGTGACAGAAACTGCTAAATGCTTGCAGTAGCTGATGTCGTTGAGGTACCCAAATTTTCTCTTTGTGTTACTAGATTATGGAGTAATAAGTGAGATAATATATTTGCAACAAATAAACAAGTAAATGTCTAGTTCATGAAAGTGACCTGGTATTATAAAATTGCATATCAGCATTATGCTTTCCAGGGGTAACACGCTTATTTTTCTTAGTATCTCATTTTAAGAATTCTGTGTACATGCATTTGTCAAATGTACCATTATTCAGACATAAATCAATAATCACTGTATTATTTGTATAGATTCCTCATGCTATGGTAATAGATAGTTCTCAAAATATTGTGTCATATATGATATAAGATTATTTCTTCTTCACATCACTTCATATTCTAATGCAGGTATAATGTATGAATTTCATGTGCTACCTCTTGAACACATCACCTCCAAAGTTCCATATCAGAGTAAGAGAGAGATAGGGGAAAATACCAATTCTTATTGAATTGCTGTATTCAATGGCAATTGAATGGCACACACAACTTATCACAGCCCATTGGCCAGAACTAGACATATGCCTTCACACTACCTGCCAGGAAGTCTGGGAAATACAAAGGAGAAAGTGTAGCACTTACTCTCTCTACAATAGTATTGTGTCTATTAGTAATAGTGTGGGTGTGTGGGGAGGAGGGTGGAGATAATTTGGAGGGCAATCAAATCAAATTAATGAAACTTTTACTTTAAATTTTGAGTCATTATATATCGTATATATTCAAATTTTTGAATCCTGAAACATCTCCCTACAAAATACTGACTTGTATACTTCTAACAAATCAAAATCTTACTCAATACTCCTTACTCAGAAGTTTGGTCCTACTATGATAGCATCTGTGGATTACATCATGTACACTAACAGAAATGAATAACAAATGACTTTGGGATGTTAACTGCTTTGCTTTTACTAACAAATCTCTCTTGCAAGCATATAATTTATTGCTACCTTTTATTTCATTTTTCTAAGACTCACCTATAACAGTCAAGGTTATTTTTCCTTTGACTTGGCTAACTGTTAAGTCTCTGTTTTTACCAAATGTGTGTTACCAATGGTATCACACCCCTTACCACTCATCAAAAAATAACTAATTTATCCTGCAAAATAAAAGACTCAAAATCAAAAATCATAGACTTAAGTAATATATATAAAGGAATCAGACCTCACCGTGCTATTCCTTGAGCTCTGCTCCAAAGATATTCTTTCAGCAAAGAGCTTTTTCATTTCCCCTGTGCCAAGAGCTTTTCTACATACTGGGAACTTAAGCACAGACAATAGCAAGGAGCCTACTCCCACTGAAATTACATGAAGATGGCATTAAGCAGAAAATAAGTAAATTTAAAAATTCAAAATTAAGATAAAACAGGTGCTTAAAAAATACTCCTAAAACATAGTGCTATGAAAAAGTTTGGGGGAACCACGTGCAGTGGTTCATGCCTATAATCCCAGCTCTTTGGAAGGCCAAGGTGGGAGGGTCCCTTGAGGCCAGGAGTTCAAGACTAGCCTGGGCAAAATAGTGAGACTCTGTCTCTATAAAAATTAAAAAAAAAATAGCAAGGCATGGTAGCACATGCCTGTAGACATAGCTACTAGGGAGACAGAGGCGGGAGGATGGCTTGAGTCCAGGAGTTTGAGGTTGTAGTGAGCTATGATCATTCTACTGCACTCAGCCTGGACAACAGAGCAAGACCTAGTCTCTAAAATAAATACATAAATAAAATTTAAAAGAAAATAGTTCAAGGGGATTTCAACATACTTTAACACAAAATTTCAGTGTCAGCTAATAATATATAGCAAGTCCTCACTTAATGTCTTGATTATATTCTTGGAAACTGACTTTGAGCAAGAGGACGTATAACAAAACCAATTTTACCATAGGCTAATTGATAGAAGAAAAAAAGTGTAAAGTTCCCATGGCATATTTCTGGTCACGAAAACATTGAAATAAATGTAAGCTATACATAAATTTAAGAAAGATTAATAAAAACAAATAAGAAAATCATTTACCCAATTTTTGGTGAGTCAATGAGCAATGGCAGTCATGGTGGTGGTAGGTTAGATCAAAATGTAAATGTCTGCAAAACAAAAATTGTAAGGAGCACCTCCGACCTACCACCATGCAGTTCAAAAACAAACAATAATTAATGTGATGGTCTTGCTGAGCTCTTTTGGACCACACTGTCTGTTGTTGTGCATTTATATGATCTTTTACCATTTTTATTTTATATCCTTTACAATTTTTATTTTTCAATAATTTGTCTTCATTCATTCATTCATTTTCCAACTTGTTTATTTCAGTTTCAATGGTGAGAGACTATCCTAGCAGCTTAGGGCACAAGGTGGGAACAGCCCTGTACAGGATGATGTCCTGACAAATGTGTTACTTCTACACATTTGTCACAATGGCAAAAACTAATGGCACCATATGTTGATAAAATTTTGAACTAACTGGAACTAAAACCAGTAGATGCGTAGATGACACAATCACTTTAGAAAACTGACGGTGATCTTGGGGAAAGGAATTGGTTTATATCTTGGACCTAAGCAAATACATGGATTTATAAAAATGTAATATTTTAATGAGCTGTACACTGATATTGTATATGTTTTACAGTATGTAAATTTTACCTAAATTTGTAAGTGTTCCAAAATAACATTTTTTATGTTCCTTTTCATCAAACATTATCAAGAATCTAGGGGTGGGGGATCCAACAAAAGAAGGGCATGACTTCTGTGGGAAAGTTTATAAAACTTTGGTAAAGTAGACATCAAAAAAATGCAGATCCTATGTTCATGGATTGGGAACTTTGATAATGTAGATACAATAATATGTTTCAGAAATTCAAACCAGTATTCGAAAATTGACAATATGATTTCTACATTGTCAGATAAAATCAAAGAACCTGGAAAAATCAATAAACTTAAACAAATGCATGTTTGAAGGGCCTATTCTAGAAGATAACAAGAGTTATTATAAATCTATAACTAATTAAAACTCTGGTATTGAAAAGACAAACAAAAAAACAATGGCACAGAAAAACAAACATAAAAACAGTCTCATGCATAGGGACACAATTTATGAAAGGGTTAGTGCTGCAGTTTTTTTCATGGTAATACCATAACCAATTAGTTATAAATATGGAAAAAAATTAAATTGGATTTCTACTCAATATCAGGTCAAAATTCAACTCTACGGTTGTTATGGACCCAAATGTGAAAGAGAAAACTAAAGTCTTTCAGAATATGACATTGCAGAATATCTTCATGACATTTAAGTAGAGGAAGAGTTCTAACCTGAAGTAAACTAGTGATGATTTTGACTGTGTTGAAATTAAGAATATCTGTTCATCAGCGTATTCTGTAAAGATAGCAAAAAGACAAGCCACAAATAAGCAATAAAATACTCACACCTTGAACATATATACATCTGAACATTGGATTAGAATGGAGAGTCTAGAAATGAGCCTTTACGCTTACAGTCAACTGAATTTCAGTAAGAATGCAAAGAAATTCAATGGGGAAAGAATTTTTTTTCAAAAAATAGTACTGGGACAATTGGACATCTACATGCAAAATAATTAAGTTGAAACCCTACCTATCAATCATTAATAAAAATGGATTATAGACCTAAATGTAAGAGTGAAAATTATAAAATTATAAAAATTATTTTAAAAAATATAAAAATTATAAAAACTTTTGGTTTAAAGCACAAGATTAAATCTTCACAACCATGAATTACACAGGGTTTTCAGATATTACACCAAAAACACAAATGGCAAAATAAAAAATAGATAAATTGGAACTCAATACATATTTCAAACTTTTGTGCATCAAAAAAGCACCATCAAGAAAATGCAAAGACAATCCACATATAATGAAAGAAAATATTTACAAATCATATATCAAATAAAGGACTTGTATTCAGAATATAAAGAATTCTTACAAATAACACCATTTAAAAATGGGCAAAAGATTTCAACAGACATTTCTCATGACAAGATATACAAATCGTCAATAAGCACAAAAAGATGCTCGACATCATTAGTCATCAGGGAAATGCAAATAGAAATCACAGTGAGATATCACTTCACACACCTACAAACACGGTTAGAATAAAATAGTCAGAAAACAAGTGTTGATGAGGATCTGAAGATATCAGAACCCTCATACATTGCTAGTGAGAATATACAATAGTATAGCTGCTTTGCTGCTTTGAAAAACAATTTGTCAATTTGTCAAAACATTAAACATGGAATCATTACTATATTTACACCTTTTTACTTAGCCGTCCAGTAAACAACTTAAATATAACGCTTGTCTAATACTCCACTACTGATTACCTCCCCATAGGATCTCTCCCTACTGCTATCTTCCTCCTCTTAGTAACTCAAAACTTGAGTCCTTCAGTTGTGCAAGCAAAACACTTAAAAGTCTTTCTTGATTATACTCTTTTTCTAAACTCCAATAGCTGACATGACAAAGTATTTTGGAAATGCCAACTTCAACATACATCTAGAATCCAAACATTTCTTTGTTTTAATTTTTGTGGATACATAGTAGATGTATATATTATGGGGTACGTGAGATGTTTTGATACAGGCATGCAATGTGAAATAAGCACATCATGGAGAATAGAGTATGCATTCCCTCAAGCATTTACCTTTTGAATTACAAATAATCCAATTACATTCTTTAAGTTATTTTAAAATATACAATTAAGTTATTACTGACTATTGTGCTATCAAGTAGGTCTTATTCATTTTTTGCCATCCCTCCCTATCACTATCATATACAAACCACCATAATCTCTCACTGATTATCACAATCACCTTCACCTCCTAACCTCTCCTTTCTTATGTCTTCCACATCCTCCTAATGTGTTTTCTACACAGCAGTAAAAGGGATCATGTCATAGTCATCTCTGTCCTCCTGAAATTCTGCAAGTGAATCACTGTGTCTCATGCACAAGTTTAACGAGGAGAATAAAGTATTTAAATAAGTGAATCATATATTTAAGATTTATTTTTCCAATAAAAGTACAAAAGCAATTCTACTATTCTACAAAGGAAACGTTCACTGTATTTATATTGACAAACATTGCTTTTTAGCAGTCTGGAATATCTCTTTTTTAAATTAAAGAGATAAAGAAGACATCTACAAAGAATACTGCAAATCTCTCATGCTGTGATCCCTTTTTTATAATAGAGGAGATTAAAAACTTCTCGAAATGATAAAGGATATGAAAGCCATTAATTCTTTGAGTAACCATATAAATTACTAGTGGTGCTGAGATGAAAAGACTGGTTTGTTTAAAGATAACAGGCCCTGAGTTTTTTAAAGAGTTTATATAGCTGTAAATCTAGGCATTAGATCCTTTCAGAAGAATTATTTGCTTATCATTAATCTTGGAAATAAGGTAATTTTGTTAGCAACAACTTTATTCCCTCTGTTCTCTTTATATATGTGCCAGAGGAGAAGTTATTCAAAGAATGGCAGTAAAGTTTCTTGTGGAAAGCTATACTGATTGTATCTTAAATAAACCATTGATTAATTAAAATTCAATGATTTGTGAAGGGGAAAGTAGGTTAAGGAGTTATAAAAATAATACACAGCATAAGCACTGTGCATGACGATGCTAATATTAAATATTATCTAAGATTTACTTATCATACTACTAAGAAAAATGTGAAGTTCAAAAGCCCAAAAGAAGTATCAATAGTACATTGTCAATATATATGTCTGTGTAGGGTTGGGTCATATATCTCATTGCTTTGAAATGTATTTCTTTTTTCCAAAACATTTCATTATTTTTTCCCCTTCCTGTTCATTGCTTGCCATGTGAAATAAAACTTCTCTATACATCTCAATCACAAAACAATGCAGCTTCTTTTCTTAGGGGTGTTTATCTCTTTCACTGTGTGAAAGTACAGCATTGCTTTCATTACTTGGACAATAAATATATTCTCACTAAAATCAAAATTACATCCTGCCACTCTCTTCCTGTGCTTTTCTTTTTACACATTTCTTTTGTTTCAATGCAAAATCTGATGTAATATTTTACAGGACATTAAAATGTGAATTTAATAAAAAATTCACTATTTTTAAAACTTAATCTAAACACAGTAAGGAGACATCTATTATTAGATAGATCGTGAGTTGAGGATATTTAAATATGAAAAACATGCACCTAAGGATCAAAGAAATCCAGCAACTTTGAGCCGATCATAAAAGATAATAAAATGGTAAATCAAAGATTATACATGGAGATGTCAGAGGAATTATTAATGATTTAAAATGATTTAAACTTTTCTTGCCTACAGCATGAATAACTAAAGTATGATTTCATAAATTATTTTAGATATATGAAAACAGTGACATATAATTCATGAGAAATTAACCTCCATCTACATAGGGAGGGAGAGTAGAATTAGTCTCAATCCAAATAGAAGGACCAAATAAATATGCAATATGGAGGTTATGGGTTGCTCTTCATATGGGTCTTAATCCCAAATTTCCCACATCCTAAAACTCTGCCTAACTCCTTTAAGCCTCAGATTTCCTCATCTTCAAAAAAAAGAAGGTAATGACTTAGAATCTTACAAATTCATATATAGAATTGATGAAAGAATATTGTAAAGAATTTGGCATAGCTTAATCACTCAAAAATCTTTCTTCATGTTAACATTATTATTAAGTCATTTAACAGGAAATAAGCCACCACTTCTAAATAAATTGAAACAGAGGGTCGTTTTCAAGCAAGTAGCCTTTATATATACAATTTAATGCTTCCCACTCAGTTTCAACACTTTCACACGAATTATTTTATGCATACATGACACATTCAAAACCCTGAAATAATAATAGAAAGTTTTTGGGAAAATAATAAAAATAAAATGGTAATTAATTAATTAGTGAGAAAATTAATTACATTATTTGAATAATAAAATAGTATTATTGTCATATCCAAGTATCTAACTCTTTTGACTATGAGAAAGTGGAAGTATTTCTCTTGGAATAGTTCTATCAACATTTCATTAGCATTCAATTAGCATTCAACGTTGAATTTAATATTTTATAAATGTATTGGCTAGTTTTACTTATAATGTTTTACTGTGGTTTCTATTTCAAAATATAATTGGATTCTCATTTATTTTAACTAGCAAAAAAACTTTTATGAAAAGTTTTTATTATTAACCAAAAATATTTATTAATTGAAACTGTGTTTTTCTATTTTTCCTTAGCATTTAAATGACCATGAATATGATCAAAACAACGTTCATATTAAACACCTAACTATAGAATAGACTCCCTGGTTTTCTGGTGATCAATATACCTGTTTTGTGTACACCATTCATGGATACAGGTAACTTATGATTTACCCTGGATGTAACAAATGAGCTCTAAATTGTTTTGTTATAAAATATTCCATAAACTCAGACAAAAATATGCGTAATAGATAGTAGAGTATATTGGTTTAGTGGTTAAATAATATGGATCTGGAATCAGATAAAATAGAATTAATGCTAGAATAAGCTACAATAGGTTAAAAATTTCAGGTTCATTAATTAAAAAGAATGTAGCTCAAGGCAAATTGTTTCTCTGGTGTTTTCTCAAACAGCACTGGGAAAATGCTAGTACAGCAGGTGTTCACATAACATCATTTAGTTAAACGTCGTTTTGTTACAACGTTGATGAGAAAAATGTATACCGAATCCAGCTGGAGCCACTGTCTATGGAATATGCACATTATCCCCCTTGACTTCATGCATTTCTCCAGATACTCCAGTTTCCTCTCACATTCCAGAGATGTGCATGTTCTGGCCACCTGCAGCCCTGAACTGGAATCGTTGGGTAATCAATTGTCTTACTTGTTTTTATTAACCTTCTTAAATGTATGTATGACTCACATTTATTTCAGTGTTTAATATTAGAAGTGTTTTGGTCTTTATTTAGAAGTTTGGTGATGGTTTTATGAGCAGAAATATACCATAAGAATTTAACTCTTGTTTATATCCATTAGCTATTGGTTTCCTTAGACATCATTTCACTTAAAGTCACAGTTTCCAAGAACCTATCAACAATGTTAAATGAGGGCTTAGCATACTGAACTAATAATTTTTAGTAGCATATGAGATTATGTAATATGTCTATAATATAGTAAGCACTCACTAAATTCTGTTATTGCCGTATCCTTTTACATATCAATGGGATTTTTCCTTCAGAAAAAAATTCCTTTCTGTGCAAATAAAATCAGTCAAGTACTGGCAAGTACAATCATTTCTCACCTAGCCTCCTGACTTATCTAAAATATAAAAGTGAACATTTCCAGAAATAGTCTAAATCCAATTAGCTTTCCACCTTTTCATAGGAGTAAAGTCTTGAGTACATTTTACTAAAATAAAGGAGGCAAACAGGATGTGGAGGAAGTAAGTTGTAGAAAACAAGTGATTATCTGGTTTCTTCATGAATACTCCAGAAAATGTGAATTTAATACTACTGGAAAGAACCAGCCCACTTTTAGAAAATTAAAGTTAATTAAATTGACCCCAAAATGATCAATATAATATTTTACAATATTACTACTAAAGTTGAGAGAAGAATAACCATATTGGAGTTAGGATGGTTGGTACAGACATATCATTTGTAAAAACCCAACCCTCATACTTGCCCCTGTCTTCGAACCACAATTTTAGAATATATGTTAAAATAACATAATCTTAAAACATCCACAAGCCCTCCTTCTTCCCTTCTCCTCACTCCACATCCCTCTGCAATTCCTTACCCTATCTCATTCCTCCACTCTTTCCCCCTCCGTTCCTCTACTCATCCCTATCTCCTCTCCTCTCCTCCCCTCCCCTCCCCTCCTCTCCTCTCCTCCCCTTCCCTCCCCTCCATTCTCCTCTCCTCCCTTTCTGTCTCTCTCCTTCCCTCTTCCTCCTTCCCCACCTCTCTCATTTTTCTCTCTCCTCCCCTCCCCTTTCTCTCCAGTGCTCTGATTGGCAGGAAAATCACCCAAGGATTTTTCTGGCCTGCAGATTCAATTCAGCGGGTCCGCAGTGGAGACTGAAATTCTGCATTTCCAACAGATTCCAGGTGATGCCGATGCTGCTGGGCTAGAAGCCACAGTTGTGCAACAAGGCAATCCAGGGATACAAGAAATCAACACCATAATTCGATGTTCTTATTTTTTTTCCTTCCAAAATCAGTCTAAATTTTAATTATATACTATGCATTGCAAGAAAATAGCAAAGCTTGTTTTACTTTTTTGGCAAATCTATATGTCTACTGAGTAGGAATCAGTAACTGTGCATAATTTAAACTCACAATTAAAGCAGTGATAACAATTCCTCTAAGTACATACCTGGCTCCAATAATTTAAAAGCCTGATGTTCATTAAGTCATGATATCTGCTGTCTTATTTTTTATTGTCCTCACTATCCAAAAATGTATTATTAAACATTTTAAGACAGAATTCATATTTAGTTTATGAATGTAATTATTAGCTATTTGTTTACTCCAAATTTTCCAAAAAGCCTCTCAAGAAAGATCTTTCAACATAAAGCAGAGGAAGACCACCAAGTAAAAATTTTCAGTGACAGTGCCAGTAGATAATATTGATCAGACAATCAGAATCCCCACAGATGGCATACACATATATAAATGATAAAGTACAAAAGAAAGACCCTGAATTATTTCCAATGCCTACGCCTATTATAAATCTGTTATTTAAAAAAGGTTATTGACTGCCAAAGACTTATTTTAAGAAATACTAAGTTGCAGCAAAAAGAAAATGTTGAAATTACAAAGCCAGAGAAACTTCAATTTTGCTTTTATGAGCCTTTATACATTTTATAAATACCAACTTAATATTACTGTTATTTTAATATTATTGTTCTTTTTACAGATGAAGAAATCAGTGAAATCTATATTAAATGCCTTTCCCCTCTTTAAAATTTTACTTCTGATTATGCATTAAAATATATTTTTGTTTTGCATCGTGTTCTTTAGTCAGCTTAATTACAGAAGTAATGATTATGTGGATTGTCTTTCATTCTCTTTTAAGAAAAAAATGTGTTCTATAGCTGTAAAAGATTATTGTTAGAATTTAAAATATGCAATGGCAATAAACATTCTTGACAATGTATGTACTTCATAAACAGACTATTTAAATTGTTTTTATTTATTTAATTTTGTTTTTTTATTTCCTAAACCTTCTTCCTGAGAGACTGCAGGAAGTAGCAGGAAGGGAAGAAGCTATTGATCACCGTTGACCTCTCGCAACTCTCCACTATGCCCAATCTGCATTTCCCATCTCAGGGAAGGACAGGACTGTCTTGGAGGTGTCCCAGTGCAAGATAGGGGGACATCACTTTTCCTTCCTCCTTTATCGCAGTAGGGACCAAGTCTTGTCTATTTCTCTGGTTCCAACTTTCCTGTGCATTTCTACCACTTCATCCTATTCATGATGCCTCTGTCCCTCTCAATTAGGTGGCATGCTTCCCATTTCTCCCCACATCCCAGCTGTTCTTAATCTAGTCTTGAGATTAACATAAACTCAGTGGGAATTGCATTCAGTTTCGTTGGCAAATTTACAAGCACTCATATTTAATTGTTAGATATTTAATAAGATCTCAGATCTTATTTGTAGGCCTTATACATTTTAACATGTTCATTCTTGGGTTTTCTTTCATGCTATTTTGTTTCTGTTGACTTATTTTTATTTTGTTTATTTATTTTTAAATATTTTATGAAGTTGTCACATGCATATCAAAAGTATATAACTTATAATTTTGCAGCTCAATGAATTATTACAAAGAAATTATATTATTCTTGAAATAAAATCTGAACTGTTCTCCTCTGGTCTAATAGACACACAAAGCCTCTCTATACACTCTCTTCTATATATAACTAAATAAGACAAAATTATTCTAGTTGTTCAGAACAAAAACACTGATGTTATCCTTTGTTCCTTTGTCATATGCCACATAGGAAATCATTAATCAGTCATAATAACACTATCTTTAAAAATATCCAGAATCTAGCAACTTGTCATCATCTGGACTACAAGTACCTTATTCACAACCACTATCATTTCTCATGTGAGTAGCATAGTAGCCTCCAAACTGGGCATCTTGCTTCCATTCTTCTCATTTTGAGTCTATTCTCAAAATCAACATCATTACAAGAGCGATCATTTCAGAATATCAGCCATGTTTTTTCACTCTTCTGCTCAAAGCCTTCCGTGAGATTCCTATGTCATAATAAAAGTAAGAATACCTTTAAATGTTGGCTCTCATCTCTTTGACTATGCCTCCTAATGTTCTTCCTTCTACTATAACACTCCTACTATAATACTGGCCTCCTGGCCAACCTTTGAAAACACTGGATATATTCCTAACTCAAGGCCTTCGCATCTGCTGTTTCCTTTGCCGAGAATGCTCATTTTCTACGTGATTTGCATCCTCACCTCCTCTGGGTGTTTGGTCATATGTAAGGTTTCCAGAATTAGCATGAATAAAGGGTAAGATACCAAGTTAAATTTTAATTTTGAATAAACAATGAATCTTTTTAGGATAAGTATATCCTATGCAATATTTGGGACATACTTATGCTAAAAAATGTTTTTCTATCTGAAATTGGCTAAAATCCTTAGGAAAGAAGGAAGAAAAACTAACCTCCTTGTTATATTGTTTCTAGTTAACATAATCCATTAATTACTTAAACAGAATACACACAATTTAAGTAGCATCACTGTCCTCATCCCTGGATCCAGGTAAGGCAGAATTGCTTACAGAATGATGTTTGGACAAGGCCTATTTGTATTTGATTTTGCTATCACCCTTGTTTTTAGTCTTTCTCTCTCGCTTCCCCCGACACAAACACAAACACACACGCACACACACACACACACACACACACCTCTACATTTACTTCAACCAGTATCTCTCTTCTTTGAACTATTGTAGTTGTCGATTATACAACTTCCTCCAACGGAGAATCAGAGAATGGAAATAATTTTGCCAATATGAAAAGAATTAATGTCTAAAATTATTGTGAAAGACAGTAGTTTCCTGTAAAAAATTGATCATAATAAATTTTTAAATTGCAATACAATTATCGAACTCAGTGTTTCTGCAAAGAAATTAGTGGTACCTGGATGCAAAGCACAAAAGAGAGACTGATTAACAGGTCTCAATTGTGATTAAAATCATCAAGTAATTATGGAAAGGAGAGGCTGATCCACTTCAACAATGGAATGGAAAAGCAGAATAATTCACATTAAGAAAAACATTCAAATATGATATCTGAAAAATCCCTTCACTTCTCTCCAATTGTGTCACCAACGATTCATGGATACAAAGGAATTTTCATATAAAAATTTATAAAAAATACTTATTATATTGTCGAATTTCAATCCCTGCAGCCTCTTTGTCAGCTCTATTTCTATCAGTTCCTCCTGAAGAAAGAGCAAACCCTCCAGTGATGGCTCCAGAAAGATCTCAACAGCAGCTTTCATCCTCCAGCACTGGAAGGAGGGTGATGTGGGGAAGAGAGCAAGTTGCTACTGTAACTTTCTGCAGTATAAATTTTAAATACATGTAGCACTTGGAAGTCCTATTTTATGGGCCAAAAGATCTCAGTTCCTTAGCCTATATGCATGCATCTGTTTCCCAGACATTTAATTGTCTTAATTATCTCCCTGAGATTTTCTATAAATCCTCCACACACTTCAAACTACACATCTAGACACAGTAATCTAAATACCTGGCATTTACTTAGAATAAAAGTTCCCTTATTTCAGGAGAGTTGTTCTTTAACTCCAACAACTCAACAGGTCAGGAAAATGACAATACACAAAAGACAAATTTCAGTGATACCAGCTCCGGGAATAATTATAAAATGGTTAAAAGCTGTCTGTAGTGGTCTCGGGTTTATAAACCTGTTCCCATCTACCACAAAATCTTCTCACTGTCTTCCTATTCTATTCCTATCTATACCTGGTCCCTCAAAGGTACCTTAACAATATGAATGACCTTTTACAAAGCACTCTTTCTAGGGCAGCCTGCACTTTCATCTTCAACCTTTTGAAATTTTAAGTCTTTGGCACTTATTCATTTAAGTAAATGTTTAAGCATTTCTTTTCAAGAAAAGGCAGCACATTATCAGAGCTCAAAGCCCTAACATAAAACGACTGTGTTTGAACAGAGATCAAAAGCTCTCATGAAAATGAAATCACTCTTTTCTGGGGAAAATCTTGGCATCACTGAGCAAGTGATAAGCAGAACACATGGATGAAAAAAAATTTGGCCTTTGAAATTACCAAACTACGTAAACAATTGGCAAAAATACAGTTCAATCATGCCTTTGGGGATGTACACATTTGGCTGGCCTCTGGTCTGTCCTTTTAAGCCCTAGTGCACCAATAATAGCATTGTCCCTGAGGTACCTTGAGATGAATTTAATTCTGACTTTTCCTCCTGTCTTTGTTTCCTGTGACTTTTCTCTGGTTGGCAAACAAAGTGTCTCTGTTCTTGTTTGTGAATGTCTGTATTGATTTCTGTCATCATACTTATTTTCCTTGTACTAAACATTAATCCCTGGTACATACCTTGAGTGAACTTGTCCTTTGTGGTCATAAATGACCTGTTAGTCTATGCCCTTCTTAGTGGAATTCGCACGGAAGCTGGATACACCTCCTAATGTTGTCATGAGGGTTTGGGGAATCATTTTGTAAGTTTCTGAGTTGGCACTAAATTTCTATTGGTATTTAACATTAAAAAACCTGTACATTAAAAAAATGCCTAGATTTTAATTGATTCCCACTATGGATTCCACTTATATTTCATAATGTATAGGCATTACTTAATAAACAGTAACAGTCAGACAAATAGCACCCATCCATCACATATTAGATTTAATAATTGAATTTCAACAGATAACAGAGCTCTTCCGGAAGAAGTAGTTTGAATATTCTCTCATTTTTACACTTCCAAACTTTACTTACAGAGAAACTATTTGAGATACATACACATTTGTGAATCCCAATAGACACCATAAGTACAAATCTACCCAGCATAATTTCTCCCTTAGCAATAGGATCTGAAGCCTTTCAGATTTTTTCACCAAATCCAATTAGCTAAGATTAAGTTTGTGTTATCTACAGTATTTGGAGATGTATTTTCTATGGTATGAATCTAGGACTTCTGTAAAATTTAGGATGCTGCATGATAAATACGCGGTTTTGTTTTTTTTTTAATTAGAAAAAAAGAATAACACTGAAGGGGAAAAAAACACTGAATATATGTATAGCTGATGGAAAGAGCGCCCTCATGTGGTAATGCACAAGCAGAGCTGGATTGCATTGAAGTTGTTGAAAGTTTTACCAAGTCATGGGGCCCCCCTTGTGCCCATTTCAGCCATTAACATGGTTTAGCCTTGAAAATCCAACACACCACAACATTCTAAGTAGCTACATACCATCAGTTATGACAGGCACTTAAGATAAAACTTTAGTTCCTTTAATTAGCCGCAAACATTTAGGGAAAATATTCAGAAGTAATCAGATTCAACTGTAACTTGTAAGATTTTTTCAAGTTTCTGATTTCATATTTCATTGTTTTTTCTTTAAATGTTAATGTTTCTATGTGAAAGACTTCATTGTCCAAAAACAGGCAGGTAAAATGAAAAACTTAATTCTGCAACAGTAGCACATCACCAACCATATATAACCCCTTTCTTGCTCTCTCTCTCTCATTCACACACACCCATAGAGAGACAGGCACACACACAAGCACACACACACACACACACACACGGGTATCCTTTCATTTAGGGACTTTCTTGTCCTATTATCTGTAGTTCATTCTTACCAAAACCATGTAATATTTATTCTACCATCACCCCATCAAGTACCTATATACAAATGAAGCCACACAATTTGTAAACTTGACTGGCTCTATACGTTGTTCATGGAACAGAGGATTTTTCATCCTAAAGTAAAATTAGTGACAAAATATATATAGCCTATATTCATTAATAGAAACCCTCAAGTAGCTGTTACAAGAGTGAAATTGTAATTAAAAATCATAAAGTTTTGACAGTACTGCAACTACCATTAAATTAGCATGGCTCATGTAAGTGCTGAGATATCAACAACCTTACGTCTCAGGTTATTGAGATTATTACCTAATCAGAGTTATAAAACCTGAAGTTCAAAGAATGACTGGGACTGGTCGCTGATTGATAGTTCCAGAAATTAAGCCCCTTGCATTACGAAGCACTGAGAGTTGAGAGGTTGAGATGAATGAAGTGGGCATATTAGCAATATTAAAAATAATGATAGATATAGCTACTATTTAATGAGTACCCACTATATGCCAGACAGTATACAAAGTACTTCTTATAATGTGTTTTAATTCTCACAATGGTCTCACAAGGCACATGTTAGTCTAATTTTACAGATCAGAACATTAGGACATGGAAAGGTTAGGTAGCTCTCTTGAAGTACTACAGGTAATATATTACAGAGATAGAATAATCTGATGCCAACATAATATACTGCTTCCCACTGGAAAGTAAGATGGAATGAAAAATCCTAGGAAAAAGCTTTAGTAGGATTAAGGGAGAAAAATAATTTGGGTGGAGTAGAAGGAAGGGTTGTGGCAACGGAAAAGGTGAAAGTAAAAATCAGTAAACTTACTGAGATCTCTGATTCCATTTTTTTAAATTCTATATAGTCAGAATATATTTATTCTAGTTGTCCATAAATTCTAGTTTCTAATCTGTATAATTGAATGTCAGAATTGGAAAAGCCAATCAATAAATCCCTCTTCTATGAAATCAATAATTTCCTCAAAGATGTCAATTGACTTCTAGATCTTACCGTTAGTAAATGGCAAAGTCAGGATGGGAACATGGTTGGGCCCTGTGCTCCTGCCACAGCACCAACTCAGTGGCCCATTGCATTGGTACCCTGCCTTCACATTTGCCTTAAGTCTGTCCATGGCACTGCTGCCAGAGTGATTTTGCAAAAATACCATTCTGACAGTGTAATAATAAAGACAAGCTAAACCATGCTTCAGTGACAAACAACCCCAAAATATCAGTGGCTTGAAACTATGAGATTTATTTCTCCCTTGCACTATATTTTCCCTGGCTCAGTTCAAAGTTCTGCTTTACACTGTTCCTTCTCAGGGATCCCAATTGTAGAAACTCAAGTTGATGGAAAAGCTACCACCTGGAACATTGCTAGTGGCCACAGCTAGTGGCCACAGCAAACAGAGACAGTGCTGAATAATCTTAAAATTTCCAGCCAGAAGTGACATGTGCTATTTCTTGTTCATACTTAATTTGTCAAAGTAAGTTACTAAATTCAAGGGCTGGAAACTGGTACATTACATGTCCCCAGAAGGAGGAATGGAAATATTTGTTAGGCATTACTAATGAGTAACAGCAAAGATTCCCTTGCTTAATTGATGTCAGCTGCTGACAGGATAAAATCCAGACACATTTATTTGTCTTAGAAAACTCACTGTGATGTGACCTCTAACTGCAGGCCATACCTCATTTCCCACAGGTATCCTATGTACCAATTATCTTGAATTTGTTATTTTCCCACAAAATATCAAACTATGTCATGCCTCATGCATTTGCCTCCATGTCTTCCTGGTGAAATCCTAGTTTTCCTTCAGGGCTCAACTCGGGGATTTTCTGCTCTGTACTTTTATCAGATCACTCCATCCCCAATCCAAACACAACATGCCCTTACCTATTTTTTATCTTCATCAAAGAGTGCCACACTCATTTGTTCATATGTAATTCTCATTTATTATACTGTACGTGCCCTGAATGCAATATCTCTGGGTTATTGCTAGTGCTCAATAAATAATGTCTGGTTGAAGAAATGAAGTCATCAGCATTCTAATAGGAGATAACAAGGTTTAGCAAAATTAATATCTACAGTAAACCAAGGGAGTTTTGAATAAAAAAGTGAGACAACAGATGGATAGGCACATAGGTACCTTGGGATTGTGCATTACCCTTTACTGATAAAGTTAACTTTTTGTAATGTAAGCTGGTGATTTTTATTTAAAATGGAAAGTCACATATATGTGAATCTGCTTTGGAGGCTTTTTCAGACTTCTTCTATCTCTTAGAGACTTCTCCCTAAAGGATCAAGATGTGTCAAATTTCCCCTAGAATGTTTTATTCAGAAATATTACCACGCTGAGCAAATACATTTTCTCATTTAATGGCACATAAAATGAGCCACAGGTATTCTGTGGATACCCTGAAGATAAGTACACGTTTGCATCATTTTACAAGGAAGGGAACAGGTTCAGAGAAAATAATAAACTTGCCCAAAGTTACATGGCTAATAAGAACCTGAAGTGAGATTTCAAATCTAAGACTTTTTGATGGTGAAGCCATGCTATCAACATGCCATCTACACAATAAATGCAGGTAGTTGCAGAAAACTGTTTAGGTGAAAATTTATTATATTCACACATTAATGGGAGTTGTTGTTCTGATGAATCACTCTGCCCTCTGTTTCATCAGGGCTCCTCGCCTGACAATACTTTTATCGAAAGAGCATTGATAAGTTACAAACTTCAGGCTTTATCAGTTATGTAGGCAATAGAGTAACTCACAAATTTTACTGAAATCATATTTCATGAGCAGCTGCTATTTTTGCCAGTCTCGGGTTTATGCTGGGCCTGGTGCTGTGTGGTGGTTATTCACCCAGAAACCTCATGACTTACGTACCTACCCAAACCCACATGCATCATTGGGTAGAATGTGTCCTTGAATTCTTTGATGTTTTTGACATTTGAAGGAAAAGAGCAATGCATTTGTTTTCTAGGAACTTCCACCAAGTATTTCCTAATATCACCATGGAACTGCCAGAGGTTTCTAAAACACATTCTCCTAAATTCTCACAATAAGCCCCAGGGCAGATCTTCACAATCATTCCTTTGTGGACTCAATCTGTATCTCACTATGCCAAAAGCATTTCTATCTTAAAGCTCATCTAATCTTTGAATCTAAAAGTCAGTTCTCTGAAGTACTTATGAAATATACAACTAGGAACTTTATTCTTATAATGCAAGGTAAAGTGATTTTAAACTCCTTTATGGACATATTTTATACAAAAGTAATAAAACTGTCTTTAAAAATTCTACTTAGAGAGTTTACTTGTTTATTCCAAATTTGTCATATCCTGGGCTTAGAATGTGTGTGAAGGACCCAAGCAAATGTAAATTGCTTATTTCAACAATAAGAAAACCCAATGAGCATGCTTCACCAGAACAAATAATTAACATGACTACCCATTAAATTGTGTGTTCCAGAGGAATCAGATGAGTAATTACTGAAGAAAGAGTGCCCAAGTAGTTAAGCTGTTTCTGCTGTCCTTGCAATCCAACAGACCATGCTGTCTCAAAATCGTTTCCCACAAAATGTCTCATTCACCTTGGGTTTTAAGAGAATTATTTCAACCTAACACGTATTCAAAGTCTGAGCTTAGACAGATAATCCATTCTTAGACATCTTGAAAATCATTACATAATGTTTATTCATGGATGATTTGAGGCCGGGTGTGGTGGCTCACACCTCTAATCTCAGCACTTTGGAAGGCTGAGGCGGGCAGATCACTTGAGATCAAGAGTTAGAGACCAGCCTGGCCAACATGGCAAAACACCATCTCTACTGAAAATAAAAAAATTAGCCGGGCATGGTGATGCAGGCCAGTAAACTCAGCTACTAGGGAGGCTGAGGCAGGAGAATCACTTGAACCCAGGAGGTGGAGGCTGCAGTGAGCTGAGATTGTGCCATTGCACAGAATGAAACTGGGCAACAGAATGAAACTGTGTCTCAAAAAAAACAGAACAAAACAACAACAAAAATAAAATAAAAGAAATTCATGGACTATTTTAGTCTGCATTACAGATATTAGTTACCAATCTTTCTTGGTAATTTTTTACATCCATTCATACTTTCTGAGTTACTATTTTGTAGCACTTTTAATTGATTTGTCTCCAAGACACCATTTTTTTCATCTTTGCCTGATGAATAAAGACATAAGAAAATATTTTCCAGGATATTGAAAAGTAGGCATGACAGAGATATTTTAATAATAAATTATTAATAAAGATTAAATTAATTCAAGTCTTATACATACATAGGATACAAGAGAAGAAAAATACTTTTATACAAACGTAGGTCCACATCCACCATGCTAGAGCACCATTTGACCAAGTAAATTTTTTTTAAAGTGACACTTTTTTTCAATGTAAACATGAAGGTTATGAAGTAGGTCTTTTAAAATTATGTGTTTCAGCATAATATGATTGTCAAGTAGAAGATTTCAGAGTTAAACACATCTCAGTTCCGATCTTGATCCTGGAACTCATTAACCACGTAACTTTGGGGAGAGTTTCTGATCTTAATGAGCCATATGTTCCTCACCTGTAAAATGAAAATATCAGTATCATATCTAAACCTCAAGACTGTGGTGAGGATTAATACAGTTGAGTTGATTTATGTAAATAAAGCACTTAGAAGAATACCTGATACAATCTACATGTTAGATAAACAATACGTTATTTCTATTCTAATTAACATCCTCATTCAGAAAAAGGTGCTGAATATGTTTCTTTATATATATCTATACATGGAAAATGAGAGAATGTGAGAGCAAGAATATGCTCTGCAATAGTACCTACATTTAAAAATTTGATGAGGCCTCCAATGTACTCATGAACTTAATTTCAAAAAAAGTAGAATCCTTTCCAAGTAATATTACCATTTATCAGAAATCACAGAAAATTCTAACTTGATAAAAACATAAATTGACTGGTAATTTTAAAATGAATTCTAATTACTTATTCTAAAATATCCAATGAAACAGATACTTGATTAAAATACAATATGGTATTTTCACAGTTTTCCTACATTTCTGAAAGCAGTCATGATGAGGAAAGTTGTCTGTGGCGTTGGTTTGTAAGTTCTTGGCTTTTGTAGTTTAAAATGATTGTTTTTGTAAGTAGAAAAGTTTCTCGGAAAAGGAATAGAGAAAACAAAACTTCTTTCATTGAAATGTGACCTGAACAATAAGCACTATTCTTAGGTGAACTTCATGGTTGATAATCTCAGCTTAGAGCACTTAACCTGCAGATTGGAACAATACTGGATATATTTCCTCATATCAGAATGAGTTTCTTAAGGCTTTTGGAGGAACAGAAATAGTGTAGCTCAGTACTTCTGTCTTTAAAAAGTCCTAACAATCCAAGACAAACCTCAGAAAATCCAGAAATTGGGAGGTCCTGATTATTACAGAATGTATGTCAGGGATTATAGTAGGTTGGTACAAAAGTAATTGCAGTTATTGCAATTGAAAGTAATATTCAAGAAACCTGGGGAATCTTCAACAAATGATGAGAAAGAATGTTTAATCAAGAGAGTCATAAAGTTTATTTAATATATCCTAAAAGTGCATGGAAAAAAATTATCCAATGTCTTGGTTATGTGAAAACCTACAGAGTATGGTGTTGAAACAGATATTTTCTTTGGAAACAGACCTGTGTTCAAATCTGAGTTCTATTACTAGAGAACTGTGCTACCTCAGGAAAATAACCTCTCTGAGTCTCAGTTTCCTCAATGTATGCTGACAATGATATTTTGCATATGCTTAGGATCAATTCAGAAAATGTATATAGAAAAGATAGCCAAGAATCTGATGTATGGCACTAAACATGTGCTAGATTCACATATCTCTAAATATTTACACCCCCCACCCCACCAGATAAATTACGGTTTTAGTACCATTACATTACATAAGAAAGATCATGTGGCCCTGGTGGGAGTATTCACGCTATAAAAACTGGGAGATGGTATAAATCGAGGCCCCCTTTTTCGGCAGAGATCTGTTTTATCACACTCCACTGCCTAAAGGATAGAATTTGAGAATAGAGGCATTGGTGAAAGCAAGGGGATTCTCCTGAACAACATTTTGAAGTTAATAGTTTAGATTTTTTCAAGAATATTTTATAATTAAAATTTCAAAAAGAAAACGAATATATCAGTATGAAATGGTGACACATGCTTTGCAGAGAACTTAAACAGGGTAGTATGATAGAAGCAGCTGCCCTAGATTGAGTAATCTGGGAACATTCTTCTGTGGAGTGATACCTAAAATGAGATATAAATTATAAGAATCCACCAGCCCCTCACTAATTGGAGGCAGCGCATTCCAGGCATAGGGAACAGCAGGTGAAAAGGCCTTAAAGAGCAATGCATTTAACATATTCAAAACTCAGAATGAAAGCTAGTGAGGTTGCAGCTTAGTGAATAAGGAGAAGAATGAGAAGTCATGAAGTGGAAGAATAAAGCAAAGGCCAGATCACTGAGGACTTTGTAAACCAGGTTTAAAAAAAAAAAAAGTGTCTGTTCATGTCCTTCACCCACTTTTTGATGGGGTTGTTTGTTTTTTTCTTGTAAATTTGTTTGAGTTCATTGTAGATTCTGGATATTAGCCCTTTGTCAGATGAGTAGGTTGCGAAAATTTTCTCCCATTTTGTAGGTTGCCTGTTCACTCTGATGGTAGTTTCTTTTGCTGTGCAGAAGCTCTTTAGTTTAATTAGATCCCATTTGTCAATTTTGTCTTTTGTTGCCATTGCTTTTGGTGTTTTAGACATGAAGTCCTTCCCCATGCCTATGTCCTGAATGGTAATGCCTAGGTTTTCTTCTAGGGTAAGAGGAAAATAATTGAAATAGGAGATAAGGGGAGAAGGAGGAGAAAAAGGAAGAGAAGCAAATGGAAAAAGGGAAGGAGAAAGGAGTGGAGAATAAGAAAGAAAGACAAGATAGCAATTTTTTTGTTTTTTGTTTGTTTGTTTTTTGTTTGTATTTTTAGTAGAGAAGGGGTTTCACCAGACAAGATAGCAATTTTTTTGTTTTTTGTTTGTTTGTTTTTGGTTTTTTTATAGCAAATTTTTTGAAGAGTAGAATAAAATACATTGCTATCAGAAAGCATAACATCTTATCAAGGAGATAAACTTTTAATGCAACAAAATGGAAAAAGATTATCACCAGAAGTCTGAGGGAGAACTAAGGCAGACTGGGCAATGTATTACTCCCCTTGACTAGGACATTCATAAGAGAGTCCCCTCACCACACCACAGGCTTTGCTAAATGTTTGGGAAGGAGGAGAAAGCCTGATATTGGCCAAACATTGTGGACTTCCTCCCTCATGACATCAATCATAGGCAAGTTACCAGAACCATAAAATTTTGTTTAAAATTGAGTTGTTTAATGACGTGTTTTGTTTCTCCAAAAAGTTGTAGTACAAAAACTGGGTTAAGGCCAAACTGATTGCAGGCCCCAAACAAAGAAACAGATGCAGGAGTCATTAAAATGGTAAGGATG